>NC_000005.10:179973802-180124248 GCF_000001405.40 Homo sapiens
GGTGGTGCATCGGGACGGAAAGCAGGTAACGTGGACAGTGAAACCTGAAAAGCACAAGCATACTGAGCGCCAACAAAGTCCTTTATTCCTATGAGAAATACTTGGGGATACAGAACGAGAAACAAATAGAACATGAAAGGAACAAACCCAGCAATCATGAAATTCAGCGCCCTCCCCTTTCCTATGTCCCACACATGCCATGAACTAGAGTGAGCAGAAGAGTGCTGCGGGAGGGGAGGCCTCTATATTGAAGGTGAGTTGCTCTCACAGCTCTGCAGCCTCTTGGTGCCATGTAAGAACCTGGCAAATATAAAAGGATGCAGGATTATTAAAGGTCCCAGACAAGAACTCTCTTCTGCTAGCTGGGGCTGGCAGCAGTCTCTGTCTCTATGGACCCTCGGCTGCAGTGGAGCCTCAGACATCTGCAGCGGCCGGCCCCCCGCTTTAGCTCCTGAAGTGGCATGGAAACATACGTTCATCCACGCGGCAACTCCACTTCTGAAAACGTACTTCTAACGACTACACACTCCGATGGCCGACCTTTAAGAGGTCTAATAAGACCAGGTGACAGTTCCTCGGTTTCTAAGACCTGCTGGCTAACATCCAAAGGAGAATCAGCCGTGATCACTGAGCCGAGGAGGAGGCCCCTCCGCCATGCCAACTGCCATCTGTCCACAGTAAATAGTGCGACAGAAGAGGAAAAGGAAACGTCACGTGGCAAGAAGCAGGCAATCCATGAGCGGCTTGACAGCTCTGGATAGAAAGTCCTAGCTGAGCTTGTGAATCGTTAAGGAAAGATGGACACGAGGGTGTCCAGGCCCATCTCCCTCCCTCACGGAGGGAAGAGGCAGTGGGCAGGTGTGACAGCAGACGCTGTGGGGCAGTACTTGGAGGGCGATGGCTTTGAAAGAGAGTTTTAAAAACTGGACTGGGAAATGCGAGTGTCACGAGATGCCGGCGAGTGGAGACAGAACACTGGAAGGAGCAGCCAGCCAAGAGAACGAGGCCCCGAGGAAGGGAGAGAGCAGGCACGCAGCGGCGCGGGGAGGAGCGGCATGGACCGCAGCAGACGGCCTCTCCGGCCTGCGCACCCGGGTCAGCACGCTGAGGGAATTAAACCCATTGCTTCCTCTGGGCAGTCAATGGTGAAGCGGTCCTCTGAGAGTGAAGAACAAGCGTGTGAGTTAAGGTGTTGAAGTAGAGTGAACACACCTGCAGGTGCTGCTGTGCCGAATGCGGAGCGCCAGCCAGGCGGGGAGGCTCTGTCTTGCCAAGTCTGTTCAGAGTCCCGTGGGAAGACGGTGAGGGAACAGAACCGCTTAGCAACATGAGGTACAGAAAGCCACAGCAGGTAACACCGACTCTGGGCTTCAAAGACAATAGGGGCGGGGAGGCGTCCCAAGGCAGAAGGAATTCTGTAAGCGGCAGTTTGGTGAGCGCGAAGGCGCAGCTGCGAGTGGCATCTGCTGGGGTGAGGCTTGAAGAGCCGCGCACAGCCATCCTCAGCTCAGCGGTTCTCATCTGGAGGCAGTTTTGGTTGTCACAACTGTGTGTGGGTGGGCGCTACTGACACCTAGTGGGTAGAGGGCCAAGGACACTGCCAGGCCCACACCCCCACACAATGACCTGGTCCCAAATGTCAACAGTGCCAAGGCTGAGAAATGCTGCTCTAGCTTAAAGACTGTCACAAGTACCGCTTGATGTGTAAAGTTAATTTTTGCTACACCTGATAACTGCACTGTCGCTACATGGCAGTGAGATGGTGTGCTGTGCTGAGCAGGCTGTGTGGTGCAGTCTCAGGGAAAGTTACAGCTTGGTGATGCGTGGAGTGTAAGAGGAACAAACAGCCGCTCAGTTCCACAGCAACAGGGAAAACTCTACACTCAGCCAGGGCAGTAAGCACAGCTAGTAACACAGTGACCCAGTACTGAAAGACAACCAAGTAACAGTACCATAGAGGGTGCAGCGAAATTCCGTGAACCGTGCCAAAAATTCTAACATTCACAAGCAGACCACAAACACAAACCACTTCTATGGTGGCAGGTGCAGCGCAGAAATGGTTCAGATCAACCATGGCCTGGACCTTGGTGGCAGGCGTGGCTTTGCAGCACGAGAATCGGGCGGGAACTTATAATTAAAGCGCATATGCCCGGCCTCCACCCGGGATGCTTCTGAAAGCCTCCCACTGACTCTGATGCAGTCAGGTCTGGAAAGCAATGAACTAAATTTTAAAAAGAGGGCCAGACGTCAGGCTCATGCCTGTGATCCCAGCACTTCAGGATGCTAGGGTGGGAGGATACTTGAGGCCAGGAGTTCAGAGCGGCCTGGGCAACATAGTGAGACCCCAACTCTACAAAAAATAAAAATTATACAAAAGGAAAAAGATAACTCCGAATGAAACTGGAAAAGTCAACACTGAAGGGATGAAGATAATGGGATTAAGTTCCCAGAATAAACTACTTTAGGCCGAGCCTCCCCTGAGGGAAGATCCCCTCATTCTAGTAATATACCCATGAATGGTTTTGGAGGCCCGTAGTTTTAGGTGCCATATGGTTCTGGAGGATCCTGGGCTGAAACAGCAAGACAGAATTTGGAGAGCCTTGGCTTCTCCTGGTCATTCCAGTGTTGAAGCAGGCAAGTGTGGATGACGCCTCCCTGTGTCCCGCTGGCCCTTCTCCTGATTTGCACTGGCGTGTGCATTTCCTTTAGCCTCACGTTTAGACCGTCAATGACTGCATGTGAAGGAAGACTGGCTGTTCCACAGTTTAATTTTCTAGAGGACAGCTTACATTTAGTTTTATAGATTTTCCTTTATATGTAAACTAGAATGACTGGACTTCCAGAATCTTGGATTTCTGTTTCAGTACATGTAATTCTTCTTCAGTTTGATTTTTTTTTTTTTTTTAAAAACAGATCTTCCTAGACTCAAAATAGATTACTTTGTAAGTAAAATAAGACCAGTAGCCTCATGGAGATAACAACTCACAATTATTTTATTAATTCACATGCTCCATATTATAAGGCTGGAGTTGTGTGGATGTCTTTTAAAGGGAAGGGAGGAGGAAGAGGCAAACTCTTTGGTTTTAGGCTTCTTGGCAGGTGATTTCCTATTTATCCAAT
The DNA here is from genome assembly GCF_000001405.40 of Homo sapiens. NCBI lineage: Eukaryota > Metazoa > Chordata > Mammalia > Primates > Hominidae > Homo > Homo sapiens. The sequence continues at coordinate 179,976,923 of NC_000005.10, forward strand.
TGATACTCAGAACTGTGTATCTTAGTTTCATGCTCCCCAGCTTGAGAGGAGCCACAGGAGAAACCAACATGCTGTTTCCAGGGCAACCAGGCACAGGCGAGTCCTTTCCTCATGGAGGAAGGCTTGGTCCCATGTGGGGAGCACCACATTAAAGGCAGGCCTTGACACAGCTCTGCCATTTCTGAATTGTGCGACCCTGGAACCTGCTATCGGCTCACCATCCTTCACTGTACAACGGGGAAAACACACCCTCTTAGGACTGCTGGGAGAATTATAGGAGACAGTGAGTATAGTCTGCTCAGAGCAGAGCATCTGAACCACAGCAGGCACAAAGCAGGTATCAGTTCTTTCCATTTTGCATAATCCAGGTTTAGAAAAAGATTTAATCCAAGTCCCTGGAGTTGTTGTACCCAGAGCCAGGTGAGCTCGATGGAAGTCTCACTGAAGGGCTTGGAGATGTAGTCTAAGATGGAGAGGAACAAGGGGCTGTTTTTGAAACCCACAGGAATCACAAAACAATGCCAAGCACAGTGACTCATGCCTGTAATCCCAACACTTTGAGAGGACAAGGCAGGAGGACTGCTTGAGCCCAGGAGTTCATGTTCAGCTGTGCGCAACATAGTGAGAACCCCATCTTTAAAGAAAACAGGCCGGGTGCGGTGGCTCACGCCTGTAATCCCAGGACTTTGGGAGGCTGAGGCAGGCAGATCACCTGAGGTCAGGAGTTCAAGACCAACTGGCCAACATGATGAAACCCCGTCTCTACTAAAAATACAAAAATTATCTGGGCATGGTGGTGGGTACCTGTAGTCCCAGCTACTCGGGAGGCTGAGGCAGGAGAATGGCATGAACCCAGGAGGCGGAGCTTGCAGTGAGCCGAGATTGCGCCACTGCACACTCCAGCCTGGGGTGACAGAGCGAGACTCCGTCTCAAAAAATAAATAAATAAATAAATAAAAGAAAACAAACATAAAAAGATAAACGAAACCATAGAACAAGAATTCTCGACCTCAACACTCCTAGGCTGTGTCTGGGGAGTCTGGAGGCCGCGTGCCACATCGCATATTGGCTACACCTCGGAAGGCCGTGCAGCCCGCACCTGCTGAACAGCACCACTCCCTGCTGGCCTCAGCCCCATGGCCAGCAATGCACAGCGGACTTGGCCTCCAGAAAGCCACGAGGTGGGTGGCGCTCAAAAGCAAGGGAGATGCCCACCCTGAAAAGGAGGCATACAAAGCACATTAATATCATTCTTTCTCAAACAAATGAAGTTGACATACTTGCAGGGGAGAATTCGGACGACATCATTCTGCTTATAGCTCTCTATGCAGACTGCACAATGATCAAAGTCTGGGTCAGTTTCCTAAAATGAAAAGTACAGAAACAAAAAGTCACACGCTGCAAGTATATAAATGGTTGGGATGCAATTCAGCTCAGAATCTTTCTGTGGCTACTATGGTAAGCAAGTGTTATAAACTGAAAAATGATTAAAATTATTTTGTTTTTATTTGCCTAACTATATTGGCCCAAATTATGTCTAAGTCAATCTATTTTGTTTTAAAAATTATAACAATCTATATTAATTTTGTTATGATATGTCTTACAAAAATTAAGTCGGAATTCTAATTTTTTCCAGGTTAGAATCAGCTTGGACCATCATGATCTCCCCATCCCTCATTCCCCCTGCATTACTTATTGGTCTGAAGAGGTTTCACTGCTATGTTTGACACAGCCTGGAAGCTCACCAGGATGTTCACTTAAACACACACCTAAGTACAGACAGGAAAGATGGTGAGTTGAGTCCCAGCAGACTGCTGTCTAGAAACCCACCCCAAGAATGGGAGCTGTGAATCTGGTCACAGATTTGGGATGGAGAAGGGTCATTGGCTCAATTCAATACTCGGTCTTCATTAAGAGTGAGAAAGAGTCAGCCAGGTATTCAGACACCAGATTAATTGATTTCCTTCCTCCTAGGACTGAGAAGGGGTTTTGCAAAAGTTGTCATAAAACAAAACATGCCAGGAACCTAAGCCAAGAAAACAGACTATTTGCTGTGTCACTGTCACTTGGACTGAAACTCAGTGGACAACTCTTGCCAGGTCTAGGAGGTACAAACTAAGATGAATTGGCTTTAATAATTAAAGGAAATAACTGTGCTGGCCCGGGATACAAAGTCAGATGGGTAGGTTAAATCCGCTCCAGGGAATTTCATACTATTGTGGCAGCTGAGGCTACCAGGCCAAGAAGGCATCTACACTGTCACCGTGGTCACCACTCCTCTGCCATTGAAATGCAAGCCGTTTTGATGCTGCTTCTATTTTCTTAAGTGATTTCCCCCTTTTCTGTTTCTTTGGTGTACAATAAAGTTCACTAAGAATGTCTCCACCCTCTGAAGCTGTTTCAAAGGCAACTAGATACGGTGGTATCAAGGCAATGGGAATAAAATGGGTAAAGTCCAAGAAATTGGTAAAACTTAGGAAGACAGAGAATCATATGAAATTATCCTTCCAGGCACAAGTCTGTGCTTAAATATTAGAATTGGGTGTGGGGCAGGAGACAGTTTTCGTTTTATGCCTTTTGAGATGCCATTTTCCCATTCTAGATAACCTTGAATACTCTGAATGTAGGGGCAGCACTAAGATGCAACTGTGTCCTTCTAGCGGAGAAGCAGGGCTCTACCATAACTAGAGCTCTGAGGCGGGATGTCAGTTAGAGGTCTCCGCCACAGCATCCTGACACTGCCTCTCTCCCTTGGTCCTCCAAGCCACCAGGGATGACCCTGACACACTTTGCTCTTCTTTCAAACTGCTCAACCCATTGTAAAGAGAGCACCTTTTTAGGTGAAACTCCCTAGAAATGCAGGTCTTCAACTCTCCATGTATCTAGTGAAAAAATAAAACAACAAAAGAGACATAGCAAAGTCCCAGGAAGTATAGGAAGAAAACACATCTCCTGGCTTTTTAACGCACAAATGGTCCCACCAGAATTCTCTGAAAATGCATGCTAGGTTTTAGCAGAAGAAACCTCTGTAGGAAAACACAGCTAGAGTTACTGTAAGAAGGTAGTTTAAAATAAAGCATTAGGTAGTGTAGTTGGAGAAAATCTAACGAATGAAATGTAAACAATTAGGGTGTGTCCTCTCCCACCAAACAAAAACAAAACTGCTGGATTACTTTTACGGTGCTGAAGTTGTTTCATGACTGTACCTTGTCACCCTTCTTTACTGTCCTGGTTGTCAATTTACTGATGGCTTTCTTGGCTGCATCTCCGAGACGACGCTATGAAAATTGCAAATAAAAACAGATACTAAGTGTAAGATCTCTGAATGACGTACTTTATTTTTAAGCAATTAAAAGTATAAAGTCTCTATTTTACTACATCCCTCTCCATGTCCTACATATAAGAGAATGATAAAATAGAAAAAATGGTGGCTGTATCAAGATTCAGCATTCTGGTTGAAAAGTAAAAAGTGTTAGAACACCCTGTTAGGTCAAACAGAAATATAGAACTATAGGTCTTCAATTCTCCAGCAGTAAAAAAGTTAGGTGTCATAATTGCTGCATTTTGTGTCGAATAAACATTTGAAACATCACAGCACTATCAAACCTACTTCTTGCACACTCCAGAGCCACTCCTGCTGCTCCAATGGCTTTTGGATTCTGCTCAACGAATGATCACCATTAGGTGTGTAAATGCCGTCTTATTAAGGGAAACCTTGACCGCTCCTTGAAATTGCTTATCGCATCATCAAGTGTGAAGAGAAGGAATGCGTCACAGCTCCACTTCTGGCTCGCTATACTATCATCCTCTGGGATCCTGGGAAGGTGTACTTACCTTCCAGGGTTGAGCTGTTTTCATTATCTGTAAGGGTGAGGGCAGAGAAACTCCAAGGCTGGATTTATGCAACATTCTCCCAGACACTGCTAGCACTGCTTGGCACCAACAACCCACAGATGAAGAGATGGTGATCCCTACCCTGGAAAAGCTCACTGAACTGGGACAGCTGCGTTAATGGTGTATACTCAAGCATGCCCAGGGCCAGGTGGCAGCACAGAGGAGGCGACTAGGAGGGGTGGGGCGAGGCAGGGGAGGAACGTCAGGGAAGGTCTTGAGGAGTCGAGGCCTGGACTAAGACTGGGAAGGGGTTAGATGGGAAAGGCGTAGGGTTAGGAGGGGGTTCCGGGTGTAGGGGTAGGAGTGGGTTCCAGGCAAAGTAATAATCTAGTAAAGATAAATAGGTGTAAAGAACAGGTATGTGAAGAAAACTAAGGTGAGCATCTGCTTTCCTGTTCAAATTAGAAAGCTTTGTGCATCAGAGGGCCCTAGGAACACTCACACTGGGACAAGGGGCAAAAACCGCGACTGTCCCAGGCACATCAGGGAGACGTCACTCTAGACACATCCAGGCCTTACACTGTGGGAAAAGGCAGATGCCGCTCCTGACGGAGCAAGGCGGGGACCAAAACAACGGACACCTTAAGAATGTTAAAAACCCATAGAAACATGTAAGAAAAAATTTAGGGGAAAGTTTTAAACACACAAAAGAACAGAGAATGATTTAATAAAGCCTTCCCTATGTATCTAACATCCGGCTTCCATTACCAGTACTTTACTTCTATTTTTCATCTGTTTCCCTCTTTACTGTGTTAGATGATTTTGAAGCATATGGCAAGCATCACATAATTTCACCCATAAAATTTTCACTAAGCACCTCTAATAGACACGGGCTTTTGTTAGATGCCACTGTCTTTCCTAACAAAAGTAACAATGATTAATCAACATTATCCAATACTCACACTATACTACAATTTCCCTAGGTGTTTACAGAATGTCTTTAAGCAGCTGGCTTGTTTGAATCAAGATACAAAATCCACACACTGCGTGTGGCTGCTCCGTCTTTGAAGCCTAATCTATGAGTCCCTTCTGTCACGCTGGTTTTAAACCACCTTATGGAGATATAATTGACTTAAAATAGACTGCATATATTTAAAATCTACACCCTGACATATATTTAAAGTTACAGTTTGAAGTTGCATATGAAATCTACGCTGTTTTCATTACCCATGAAAACCTAACTACAATCAAGACAGTGTATCTACCACATCCCCAAACTTCTTTGTGCCCCTTCCTAATTCCCTCCTCCCGCCACCCCATCCCTCCATGATCTACTTTTTGCTGTAACAGTCTGCAACATCATGAGTTTTACATAAATGGAATAGATACAGTATGTACTACTGTGTGTACGGCTTCTTTGACTCAGCATGATTATCTTGAGATTAAGCCACCTTGGTGCATGTTTCAACAGTTAACTCCTTTCTAATGTTATCTAGTATCCCACTGAAGAGATGGCCCACAATATCCTTTCACCTGTTGATGGGACATCTGCACTGTGGTCCAGTTTTTGGCTGTACTGAAAAGCTGACAACAACATTCTCAATTCTTTGCATGGACATATGCTTTCTTTTTTCCTGAGGTAAATACTGCAAGTAGAAAGATGGGCTCACCTGATAGTTGTCTGACTTTTATTTAAGAGACTGCCAAAGTGTTTTCCAAACTGGGCATATTATTTTACATTTGCAACAGCAATACATGAAAATTATAGTTCCTCCACATTCTCACCAACACTTGGTATGGTGAGATTTTGTGTTTTGTTTTGTTTTGTTTTGTTTTTAAGACAAGGTCTTGCTCTGCTTCCCAAACTGGAGTACAGTGGTGCAAACACGGCTCACTGTAGCCTTGACCTCTGGGGCTCACTCAAGTGATTCTCCAGCTTCAGCCTCTGGAATAGCAGGAACTACAGGGGTGCACCACCATGACCAACTGATTTTTTATTTTTATTTTTGTAGAGACGAGGTCTCACTATGTTGCCCAGGCTGGTCCGAAACTTCTTGGCTCAAGCAATCCTCTCACTTTGGCTTCCCAAAATGCTGAGATTACAGGTGTGAGCCACGGCACGCAGCCTCCTTACAGTTTTAATTTGCATTTCCCTATTGTAATGATGTTGACCATCTTTTCATGTACTTATTGGCCATGTGTACATTGTCTGTGGTGAAGTGTCTGTTCATGTGTTTTGCCTATATGTGTACATTGTCTGTGGTGAAGTGTCTGTTCATGTGTTTTGCCTATATTTCTGAGTTGTTTTGTATTATTGACTTTTGAGAGAACATTATATATTCCAGATAAAAATCCTTTTGCATGTATTTCCCCTCACTTTATGGCAGTTTTTAATTTGATGAAGTCGATTAATCATTTTTTCATTGGTAGACTGTGCTCTAGTATCATATTAAGGAAGCTTTGCCTATTTCAAGGTTACAAAGACTTCCCCGTTTTCTCTTCTAGAAATTTTATAGTTTCGTACTTTGTATTTAGGGTTCTGACTCATTTTGTGTATTCTGTCAGGTACAGATGAACTTTTTTTTTTTTTTTTTTTTGCATATGGACATACAATTGTTCTAGAATCATTTGTTGAAAAGGTTGTCCATTCTCCACAGAATTACCTTTCTAAATCTGTCAAAAACCAGTTGTCCATAAATATGTGGGTCTATGTGCGGACACTATTGTACCATGCATCTATTTGTTTACCATTAAGGAAATACAATCCTGTCCTGATTTCTGAGGCTTTGTAATAGATCTGAAATTAGGTGGTGTTAACCATCCCACATTTCCTTTCTATTCTAACATCCTTGTGGTTTTTCTTGATATTTTGCATTCCCATATGAACTTTAGGATCAGTTTGTCCATCTCTATGATAAAAGACATCAGGGATTTACAATGAGATTGTGCTGAATGTATACATCCACTTGGGGAGAACTGGCATCTTAACAACATTAAGTCTTCCACTGAACACTGTGTATGTGTCTCTCCACCTACTTAGTTCTTGATTAATTTCCTCAGCAATAGTTAGTTTTCACTACATAGGGCATATTGCATATTTTGTCAGATTTATTGTTAAGAATTTCCTATTTGTTGATGCTATGGAAAATGGGATTTCTTAAAATTTAACTTTCTTAGAGATAGGGTCTTGTTATGTTGCCCAGGCTGGACTCAAACTCCTGGGTTCAAATAATCTTCCTACCTCAGCCTCACAAGTAGCTGGAACTACAGGTGTGCACCATCTGCTTGATGAAAATGCATTTTTTAAAACCAATTCAATTATTCATTACTCATATATAGAAATAAAATTAATTCTTTCATATTGATCTTGTATCATGGAACCTTGTTAAATCTACTGTTGGTCTTTTTCATAGATTCCAACATATCTTCTACACGAAATTTCTACAGAAAATAATGTTGTCTGTAAATGAAGACAGCTTACTTCTCCATTTCCACAATGGATGTCTTTTACGTCTTTTCCTTTTTACTTACTGTGCTGGCTAGAATCTAAAGAACAACGCAGAAACAGAAGTGATCAGAGGACACATTCTTCTCTTGTTCCTAATGTTAGAAAAAAGAATTTAGTCGTTCACCATTAAATATAATGGTGGCTGTCAGTTTTTCATAGATGCCCTAATAGTTTGAGGAAAGTTTAAAAATCAGGAATCGATGTTGGACTTCGGCAAATATCTTTTCTCCATCTATTGAGATCATACAGTTTTAGCTTTTTTGGCCTGCTAATATGGTAATAATACATTAATTTTTGAATGTTAAATGAAACTTATATTCCTGGAGTAAACATCACCTGGTCATGATGAATTTATATATATTGTTAAATATAATTTGCTAAATTTTTTAGAATTTGTGCATCTATGTTCAAGAGGGGTCCTGGTCTGTAGTTTTGTTTTGTAGTAGTTCTGTCTAGTTTTGGTATTAGGAATGATACTGGTGCCATACAATGAAATTGGAGGTATTCCTGCCTTTTCCATATAAGTTAAGCATTTGAAATTAAAATCTGAAATGCTCCTAAGTATGAAACATTTCCAGTGCCAACATGAAACTCAATGGAAATGCTCACTAGAGCATTTTGCATTTCAGAATTTTGGATTTGGTATGCTCAAACGGTAAGTATAATGCAAATATTCCAGAATCTGAAAAATTTCTGGTCCAAAGCATTTTGGATAAAGGGTACTCAACCTATAGTTTGTTTGATATTGTTATCATAGCTGCCCCTTGAACAACATGGAAACACCCATTTCCATCAAGTCATCTCCTATTAATTTAATTACTCTGGTGTAGTATCTATTTGCTCTTGAATTTCTTCAACATCCTCATCTTGAAACCCTTTACCCCCTAACTTTTTTTTTTTTTTTTTTTTTTGCCATATCCACAATCTGTTTCATGATTTCCTTGACTGGCTCTATCATAAATCCTGTGAAATCATGTACTACGTCTGGACACAGTTTTCTCCCATAGAAATCTTTTGTTTAGACTTTCATGGCATTTCCTATAATAATAATGACATCTTCAACAGTGCCATCTTTCCAGACTTTTGTGATGTTTTATCTGGATTCTATTCTACAGCATTAAATGCTTTACATAGCATACTGTGCATACTAAGCCGTAAGGGTCCTTAGGACCCCCTGCTCTAGAGGTTGAATTAGAGGCATGTCTGGGGTCAAGAAGGCCACTCTGAAGCCTTCAGTATTGAATTCATGGGGTTCTGGGTGGCCAGGGGCATTATCCAATATCAAAAAAACGTTAAAAGGCAGTCCTACCCTGGCAAGGTACTTCCTAATTTCAGGGACAAAGCACTGATAAAACCAATTCAGAGGGTTCCCACTATTCGGTCCTCCCTGTTTTGCAATTAAAAACCGGCAGATGGTATTTATAATTTCCCTTCCAGGCTGGTGTTTAGTAGCTTTATCAATAAGGGCAGTCTTGATCATAGACCTGACTGCATTTGCACAAAACAAATGCCTGAAGTCTTAATTCTCTCTTCTCTACCTTACTAATAAATGTCCTTTGTGGCACTTTCCCCCCAAATAGGGCACTTTCATCAATATTAAAAATCCGTTCACAAAAATAACCTTTCTCCTCAATGATTTTCTTAATGAAATCTGGGAACCTGACTTGACTGCTACTTCTTGATCGTCAAAAGCTACTTCTCCTGTTATCTTGTCATTTTTAAAGCCAAATCTCTTTCTAAACTTTTCAAACTAACGTTTGCTGCCATTAAATTCTCCAGTGCTATATCCTTTGCTTTCCTTTTAAGTTGTCATATAATGACTTTTCTTTTCCTCAAATCACATTGGATACTACAGGTATGCCTTCCTTATAGAAATCCTGCACCCACATAAAGGCTGCAAAAGGTATTTAGCAAAAAGTATAAAGTTTTTGTGCCTGTTGGTGTAGCTATAGCAATGGCTTCATGAATAGATTTTTCTGTCCTTTTATGTGTTTTACAATGATATGCTAAGTCATTCTTTGTGAAATGGCAGCACCTGCAGCTGAAGACCTCTATCTATGGTACAAATCAAGCAATACAACTTTTTCTTGTAACGTCATGACTTCTCTCCGCTTCTTGGGAGCATTTCCAGCAGCACTATGGCACTTCATACAGGTCCCATGGTGTAATATTCAAGATTCATGATACTGCACTAAACACATTGAAAACTATGTGAGAACCACAAGAGGTCACTTTTACTGCAATAATCAACCTAATGGAGGGACGAACTACTCATAAGCGTATGTCACATGACATTTCAAGTGGACACTGGCAACACTGGTGATCACAATAGCAACAGGTGGCTATGAAATTATTACATTAATACAGTACGTACTACTGTTAATTTTATGCGGTTATGATTTAACATGGTTTACATTTCTTCCAACTGTGAATGGTGCCATGTATTTGTTTTAATAATTTTTAACTTTTTACAATGGATTTTTGTATATTTTATGATAGTAAATGATCAAATAGACTAGTATCTACATGTATTTTATACATGATGACATATATTTCTCCATTTTTCTGTGATCTCTTCAATTTCTTTCATCAGTATTTGAGAATATTGGTTAAATTTATTATTCTTATGTATTTTATTTTTATGTGACTATTGCAAATAGGACTGCTTTCTTGATTTCCTTATTACCCAGTTTGTTACTGGTGTACAGAAATGATACTAACTTTTGTACACAAACTTTGTATTCTCCAACTTTACTGAATTTATCAGGTTTATGAGTTTTTGGTGAACTCTTTGTTTTTTTTCTACATATGGTCACATAACCTGAAAAGGGAGACAACTAACATTCTCTTTATGATATGGATGCCCCTTCCTCCCTTCCTCCTTTCCTTCCTTCCTTTCTTTCTTCTATTTTTTTTCTTAGAGACAGGGTCCCTGCTCTGTCACCCAGGCTGGAGTGTAGTGGTGTGATCATGGCTCACTGCAGCCTGGACCTCCTGGGCTCAATCCATCCTCCTGCCTCAGCCTCCTGAATACCTGGGACTATAGGCACACACCACCACACCTGGCTAATTTCTATATTTCTTGTGGAGAAAGGGGTCTCCCCACATTGCCCAGGCTGGTCTTGAACTACTTGGCTCAAGTGATCCGCCTACCTTGGTCTCCCAAAGTGCTGCGATTACAGGTGTGAGCCACCGAGCTTGGCCACCTTTTATTTCTATGTTCTGACTGCTCCGGCTATGACTTCCAGCACTATGTGGAACAGAGGGGGTGGTAGGTAGAAGTGGGCATCCTTGTCTTGAACCAGTTCTTAAAGGAAAGTCTTTCAGCTTTTCCTAATCAATATGATGTTAGCTGTGGGTCATGTGTATCTTTCACTATATTGAAGTATGTTACTTCTATACCTAATTTGCAAAGAGTGTTGAATTTTATCAAACGCCTTTTCTGTGTCTATTGAGAATCTGGTATTTGTTGTTCCTTTATTCTGTTGATGTGAAACATCATGACTATTGACTTGCAAATGCCAAAACATCCTTCTATCCCCGGGACAAATCCCACGTTATATTGCTGTATTATCTTTTTGATGTGTTGTTGGATTCACTTTGCTTCGTACTGGGTTGAGGCTTTTTGTGTCTATGTTCAAGGACATTGGCCTGCCATTTTCTTATTTCGTTGTGCCCTTGTCTGGTTTTAATATTGGAATAATTTGGGTCTGGTAGAATGAGTTAGAAAGAATTCTCTCTTCTTTCATTTTTTGAAATAGTTTCAGAAGAACTGACGTTAATTCTCCTTTATAAATTTGATAGGATTTGGCAGTAAAGCCATCTGGTCCTGAGTTTTTGTTGAGGGATCATTACTATTTATTGTTCTGTTCATGTTTTCTATTTCTTCTTGGTTCAATGTTGGTAGGTTGTATGTGGCTAGGAATGTATCCATTTTCTCTAGGTTTTCCAGTATGTTAGTGTATAATTCTTCACAAACCTCTAATGATCCTTTGTATTTTGTTGGTTTCAGTTGTAATGTCTCCTTTTTCACTTCTGATTTTATTTGAGGCTTCTTTTAGCCATTTATCTATTGAAAAACCAAATTTCATTGTGTTGATCCTTTGTATTGTGTTTTTAGTCTCTGTTTCATTTAGTTCTATGCTGATCTTTATTATTTCTTTCATTCTACCAATTTTGGGTTTGGTTTATTCTTGCTTTTCCAGTTCCTTGAGGTGCATAACTGGGCTCTTCATTTGAAATATTTCTAATTGTCTGATTTAGGCATTCATTGCTATAAACACTTCCCTCTTAGCACTGCTTTTGCTGTATCTTGTAGGTTTTGGTATGTTTTATTTCCATTTTCATTTATTTCAAGAACTTAAGAAATATCTCTTAATATATTCATCAACCTTATGGCAGTGATCATGTTGTTTAGTTTCCACGTAGATACTGTTTCCAAAGTTCCTCTGGTTATTGAGTTTTATTCCACTGTGTTCTAAGATGCATGATATGATTTCTATTTTTAAAAATTTGTTGAGACTTGTTTTGTGGTCTAATATATAGTGTTTCTAAACAATGTTCCATATGTTGAGGAAAATGTGTATTCTGCAGCAATTTGATACAGTGTTCTGTAAATGTCTGTTACGTCCATTTGGTATATAGTACAGTTCAAATCCAAGTATTCTGTTAATTTCTGTCCAGATGATCTGTCCAATGTTGACAGCGGGTGTATTAGTCCGTTTTTATGCTGCTATGAGGAAATACCCCAGACTGGGTAATTTATAAAGAAAAGAGGTTTAATCAACTCAGTTCCGCATGGCTAAGAAGGCCTCAGGAAACTTACAATCATAGCAGAAGGCACCTCTTCACAGGGCAGCAGGAGAGAGAATGAGTGCCAGCAGGAGAAACGCCAGACGCTTATAAAACTATCCCATCAGATCTTGTGAGAACTCACTCTCTATCACGAGAACAACATGGAGTTAACCACCCTCATGATTCAGTTACCTCCCACTGGGTCCCTCACATGACACATGGGGATTATGGGAACTATAATTCAAGATGAGATTTGGGTGGCGACACAGCCAAATCGTATCAGCCGGATACTGAATTTCCCAACCATTATTGTATTGGAGTGTATCTATCCCTTGAGGCCTAGTAATATTAGCTTTACTTATTTATGGGTGCTATGGTGTTGGGTGTATAAATATTTTGAATTGTCATATCCTCCTGCAGAATTGATCCCTTCACTATTATCTATTTACGTTTTTTAATTTTTATTTTTTACATAACGTCTGTTTTATCTGGCATAAGAATAGCTATTCTTACTGCTTTTGCTTTCTGTTTGTGTAGCATGTTTTTCTCTACCCCTTCACTTTCAGTCGATCTGTGTGTCTAGGTATCACACAGTTGTGTCATTTAAAAAAATCTATTCAGTCAGGCTGTATCTTTTAAGCGGAGCATTTGATCCATTTAGGTTCAAGGTTAACATTGATATATGACATCTTGTTACTGAAATATATTGTTATCTAGCTGTTTTGTAAATTCTTTGTTTTATTTTTTCTTCTGTCTTTGTGGTTTCATGGAGTTCTATCATGGTGCCATTTGATTCCTTTCTCTTCTTCGTGTAATTGTTTTATGAGACTTATTAATTTTATACTTTCATGTGTTTTTATGATGGCAAATATCAACCTTTTGTTTCCATGTCTGGGACTCCTTTGAGCCTCTACTATAGTATTAGTCCAGTGGTGATGAATTCTCTTAGTGTTTGCTTGTAGGGTCCAGCCCCACGGGGTTGGTGGGTTTTTCTCCCCATGTGTGGAGACGAGAGATTGCAGAAATAAAGACACAAGACAAAGAGATAAAAGAAAAGATAGCTGGGCCCGGGGGACCACTACCACCAAGATGCGGAGACCAGTAGTGGCCCCGAATGCCTGGCTGCACTGTTATTTATTGGATACAAAGTAAAAGGGGCAGGGTAAAGAGTTTGAGTCACCTCCAGTGACTGATAAGGTCACGTGAGTCACATGTCCACTGGACAGGGGGCCCTTCCCTGTTAGGTAGCCGAGGCGGAGAGAGAGAGGACAGCTTACGTCATCATTTCTTCTATGCTCTTTTCAGAAAGATCAAAGACTTTAACACTTTCACTAATTTTGCTATTGCTATCTAGAGGGCGGAGCCAGGTGTACAGGATGGAACATGAGAGCGGACCAGGGGCGTGACCGCTGAAGCACAGCATCACAGGGAGATGGTTAGGCCTCCAGATAACTGCGGGTGGGCCTGACATCAGTCGGGCCTTCCACAAGAGGTGGTGGAGCAGAGTCTTCTCTAAACTCCCCCAGGGAAAGGGAGACTCCCTTTCCTGGTCTGCTAAGTAGCGGGTACATTTCCTTGGCACTGACAGCTACCGCTAGACCATGGTCCGCTTGGTAATGGGCGTCTTCCCAGACACTGGCGTTACCGCTAGACCAAGGAGCCCTCTGGTGGCCCTGTCTGGGCGTGACAGAGGGCTCACACTCTTGTCTTCTGGTCACTTCTCACCATGCCCCTTCAGCTACTATCTCTGTATGGCCTGGTTTTTCCTAGGTTATAATTGTAGAGTAAGGATTACTATAATATTGGAATAAAGAGTAATTGCTACAAACTAATGATTAATGATATTCATATATAATCATATCTATGATTTACATCTAGTATAATTCTTGTTATTTTATAATATTGGAATAGCTCGTGCCCTCGGTCTCTTGCCTCGGCACCTGGGTGGCTTGTTGCCCACATTTGCTTGTCTGAGAAAGACCCGTTTTCTCCTTCACTTACGAAGTTTATTCTAGCTGGATGAAAATTTTTCTCCTTTTAGCACTTTGAAAATAGCATCCCATTCTCTTCTGGCTTGTGTAGTGTATCTTTCCCTATCTGCTGAGAAAGTCTGTTGTTTGTCTGATGGAGCTTCCCTTATAGATGACTAGGTGCTTTTCTCTTGTTGATTTTAGAATTTTTTCCTTCACACTGACTTTAAGCAATCTGATGACTATATGTCATGGTGAAGTCTTTAAGCAATCTGATGACTATATGTCATGGTGAAGTCCTTTTGCAATGTATTTGCCTGTTAATCTTTCTGCCTCTTGTATCTGAATGACTAGATGTCTTGCTAAACGAGTTAAGTTGTTTTCATCAATTATTTCCTTAAGTAAGTTTTCTAAACTCCTTGCTGTTTTCTTCTTCCTCTGAAACACCAATGATTCAGTTTAGTTGCTTTATATAGTCCATGCTTCTTGGAGGCCTTGTTCTTTTGAAGTTTTTCTTTTCTGTATTTCTGTGCGACCAGATTCATCCAAAACACTTGTCGTCAAGTTGTGGGATGTTTTTCTTCCACTTGATCTAGATCAGTGGCCCCCAACCTTTTTGGCACCAGTGACTGGTTTTGTGGAAGACAATTTTTCCACAGACTGGCGGGTAGGGGATGGTTTCAGGATGATTCAAGCACATTACATTTATTGTGCCCTTTATTTCTATTATTATTAAATTGTAATATATAATGAAATAATTATACAAATCACCATAACGTAGAATCAGTAGGAGCCCTGAGCTTGTTCTCCTGCAAGCAGATGGTCCCATCTGGGAGAGATGGGAGACAGTGAGAGATTAGGCATTAGATTCTCATGAGGAGCACTCAACCTAGATGCTTTGCATGTACAGTTCACAGTAGGCTTCACACTCCTATGAGAACCTAATGCCACCCCTGATCTGAGAGGAGGAGCAGCTCAGGAAGTAATGCTAGCAATGGGGAGCGACTGTAAATACAAATGAAGCTTCAGTCACTCACCTGATGCTCAGCTCCTGCTGTGTGTCCTGTATCCATGGTCTAGATCATTGTTGGGAACTCCTGATGTAAATCATTGTTTTTTGCTTTTTGTTTTGAGATGGAGTCTTGCTCTTTTGCCCAGGCTGGAGTGCAGTGGCACGATCTCGGCTCACTGTAAACTCTGCCTCCCGAGTTCACGCCATTCTCCTGCCTCAGCCTCCCGAGTAGCTGGGACTACAGGCACCCGCCACCATGCCCGGCTAATTTTTTGTATTTTTAGTAGAGACGGGGTTTCACCATGTTAGCCAGGATGAGTCTCGATCTCCTGACCTCGTGATCCACCCACCTCATCCTCCCAAAGTGCTGGGATTACAGGCGTGAGCCACCACGCCCGGCCCTAAATCATTGTTAAAGCTTTCAAATGTATCTTGCAATTCCTTCAATGAGTATTTCATTTCCAGGAGTTGTCTGTTTTTAAAATAAAAAACTTATCTTACTTGACATTTTGAGGATTTAAGGATCCATTGTTGGAGAATTACTGTGTTTTTTTGGGGGGGTGTCATATTATCTTTTTCATACTTCCTATAGTATTATATTGACTTCTTCACATCTGCACAAATAGTTGCTTGTCCTTATTTTTAAATTTTAGTTGAAGTGGGATTATTTTTTATTTTTTATGGTTTATTTATTATTATTATACTTTAAGTTCTAGGGTACATGTGCACAACGTGCAGGTTTGTTACATATGTATACATGTGCCATGTTGGTGTGCTGCACCCATTAACTCATCATTTACATTAGGTATATCTCCTAATGCTATCCCTCCCTCTTCCCCCCAACCCATGACAGGCCCCAGTGTGTGATGTTCCCCATCCTGTGTCCAAGTGTTCTCATTGTTCAATTCCCACCTATGAGTGAGAACATGTGGTGTTTGGTTTTCTGTCCTTGCAATAGTTTGCTGAGAATGATGGTTTCCAGCTTCATCCATGTCCCTAAAAAGGACATGAACACATCCTTTTTTATGGCTGCATAGTATTCCATGGTGTATATGTGCCACATTTTCTTAATCCAGTCTATCGTTGTTGGACATTTGGGTTGGTTCCAAGTCTTTGCTACTGTGAATAGTGACGCAATAAACATACGTGTGCATGTGTCTTTATAGCAGCACGATTTATAGTCCTTTGGTATATACCCAGTAATGGGATGGCTGGGTCAAATGGTATTTCTAGTTCTAGATCCTTGAGGAATCACCACACTGTCTTCCACAATGGTTGAACTAGTTTACAGTCCCACCAACAGTGTAGAAGTGTTCCTATTTCTCCACATCCTCTCCAGCACCTGTTGTTTCCTAACTTTTTAACAATCACCATTCTAACTGGTGTGAGATGGTATCTCATTGTGGTTTTGATTTGCATTTCTCTGATGGCCAGTGATGATGAGCATTTTTTCATGTGTCTGTTGGCTGCATAAATGTCTTCTTTTGAGAAGTGTCTGTCTGTATCCTTTGCCCACTTTTTGATGGGGTTGTTTGATTTTTTTCTTGCAAATTTGTTTAAGTTCTTTGTAGATTCTGGATATTAGCCCTTTGTCAGATGGGTAGATTGCAAAAATTTTCTCCCATTCTGTAGGTTGCCTGTTCACTCTATTGGTAGTTTCTTTAGCTGTGCAGAAGCTCTTTAGTTTAATTAGATCCCATTTGTCAATTTTGGCTTTTGTGGCCATTGCTTTTGGTGTTTTAGACATGAAGTCCTTGCCCATGCCTATGTCCTGAATGGTATTGCCTAGGTTTTCTTTTAGGGTTTTTATGGTTTTAAGTCTAACATTTAAGTCTTTAATCCATCTTGAATTAATTTTTGTATAAGGTGTAAGGAAGGGATCCAGTTTCAGCTTTCTACATATGGCTAGCCAGTTTTCCCAGCGTCATTTCTTAAATAGGGAATCCTTTCCCCATTTCTTGTTTTTGTCAGCTTTGTCAAAGATCCGATAGTTGTAGATGTGTGGTATTATTTCTGAGGGCTCTGTTCTGTTCCATTGGTCTATATCTCTGTTTTGGTACCAGTACCATGCTGTTCTGGTTACTGTAGCCTTGTAGTATAGTTTGAAGTCAGGTAGCATGACGCCTCCAGTTTTGTTCTTTTGGCTTATGCGGGCTCTTTTTTGGTTCCATATGAACTTTAAAGTAGTTTTTTTCCAATTCTATGAAGAAAGTCATTGGTAGCTTGATGGGGATGGCATTGAATCTATAAATTACCTTGGGCAGTATGGCCATTTTCACAATATTGATTCTTCCTATCCATGAGCATGGAATGTTCTTCCATTTGTTTGTGTCCTCTTTTATTTCGTTGAGCAGTGGTTTGTAGTTCTTCTTGAAGAGGTCCTTCATCCCTTGTAAGTTGGATTCCTATGTATTTTACTCTCTTTGAAGCAATTGTGAATGGGAGTTCTGGAGTGGACTTTTTTTAATCCTGAGGATGTTACTATGATGTAATTTGAGTAGGATTGTTTGACTTTGCTTCTGAGTGTGTTCAGTAGCAAATATTCTAGGATTTCCTTGGATATAAACAGCCTTAGTGTGGTGGCTTTCTCAAATGCTGGTTACAGTAGTGGTGTATCGGGTGGGTGAGCTGGCTCATAACCTCCTGAGAAGCTGGGGTGGCATGAGCAATGGTGGTAAAAGAAGTCATGAGAAGCTTTTCTTATTCCCAAGTGCTGTGCACTTATGTAAGCAGATGTTGTAATGGGCTGTGTGGGTCAACCTCCAGGCCAGCAGGTGGTAGTTGCAGGTCACAGCTGGCTACAGTTCTAACAGTAGGGTTTACGACTTATCTTTGTTAACCAAGAGAAGTACTTAAGTGTCCCACGCAATGGGTTGGGCCAGGGAAAGCTCAGTGGTTTGGGTCTTACACTCAGCCTTGGGGGAGGGGAGGGGACTGGTGGGGAGAGGTGAAGCTGGGTAGAGCTGGACTGGGCAAGACAGCCATTTGGTCCCCCAGTAGCAGGCAGAAGCACTGGCTCTGACAGGGATCTAGGGACAGTTGCCAAACCCTGTAGAAATGCCTAGGCAAAGATGAGAGCAACTGACATTGCATCAATGTCCCAGCACAGGAAGGCAAGGGCAAACCCATTGTTAAAACCAGGCAAACAGTATGGGACCTGCCTCTCTCTCTCTCTCCAGAACCATCAGGACTCATTTCCTCATCCCAACCACAGGAATCAGACAGACCATATATCTGCCTTCAGCCTGCAAATTTGCTATTGGGTCCAAAACCACACCTCTCAGGCAAATCTCCTGCTCCAGTCCCATGATGGGGGTGCAGGGGTCCAATTCTAGTGCCCAAAGCTGGAGGCCCAAGCTGTACTCATTTATCATTTCTGGCTGTGTGGGCCCCTTTCCTACCAAAGACCCAGTGTTCCAATCCTGGCATGAGACTTTATAATGCTAACAGATGCTGCTTCTGCTGCTGCTGCTAGGCCACAGGATTCCCACACAGTTTGCTATGAGCTAGGACTGAGACTGGAGTCCTCTTATCAGCCACCAGGTCTGGGAAAATGCATGGGATGCATCCCAGGTTGTTCCTTCTCAATGTCTCTCAGCTACTCCCTAAGTAAGATCCAGGGCTTGGGAAGCTCAAGGTGCTCTCCTGTGGCCTGGATTGCACACTTCCCCAGTGGGAAGATGGACTGCAGAGGAACACTGACTCCCCATCTCCTGTATTGGGGATTTTCTGTTTTTAGCCAGACTCTGCCAGGAGGGCTGTCTCCCAAATTTCTCTTTCCCAGTGTCTGAAATGTTCTGTTCAATTCCTGTATTCCTTCTTGGATAAAAGTTAATGATGTGACTATCTGCACACTATTTTGCTTTTTCCAAGTGGGTTAGGCATGCTGGAAAAGCCTCTAATCTGCTGTCTTTGGGGGAAAAACCCATACAAAGATTGTGTTTTCTATTTCTGTGAATAATATCACTGGCATTTTGATAGGGATTACATTCAATCTGCAGGTCACTTCTGATAGTACTGTCATTTTCACAATATTAATTATTCCTATCCATGAACATGGGATGTCTGTTTTTGTTTCCTCTTCAATTTCTGTCATCAGTGTTTTAGTTTTCCTTGCAGACGTTTCACCTCTTTGACTAAATTTATTCCTATGTATTTTATTCTTTTTTGGTGGCTATTGTAAATAAGATGGACTTCTTGATTTATTTTTCAGTGAGTTAATTGTTGGTGTATATACACAGAACTGATTTCTGTATGTTAATTTTGTATTCTGCAACTTTACTTATCAGTCCTAAAAGGACTTCCAGTAATAACATGTTAAATAGAAGTGGTGAAAGTGGGCATCCTGTGTTTTTCCACATCTTAGTGGAAACGTTTTCAGCTTTTCCACGTTCAGTATGATGTTGGTTGTGGGTAAGTCATATATGGCCTTTATTGTGTTGAAGTATGTTCTTTCTATACCTAACTTGTTAAGAGTTCATATCATGAAGCCACTTATCAAATGCTTTTTCTGCATCTACTGGCATTACCACATGGTTTTTGTTCTTCATTCTGTTGATGTGATGCATCGCATTTATGGATTTGCATATGTTGAACCATTCTTGCATCCCTGGGATAAATCCCACTTTTTCATCATGAATGCTCTTTTCAATGTGTTGCTGGATTCAGTTTGCTAGTATTTCGTTGGGGATTTAAAAATTTATGTTCATCAAGGATACTTGTCTATATTTTTCTTTATTTTGTTGTATCCTCATGTGGTATTGCTATTAGGGTAATGCTGGCCTTGTGGATTGAGTTCAGAAGAGTTCCCTTCTCTTCAGTTTTCTGGAGGAGTATGAGAAGAATTGGTATTAGCTCTTCTTTAAATGTTTGGCAGAATTCTGCAGTGAAGGAATCAAGTGCTGGACTTTTCTTTAATGGGAGACTTTTAATTACAGATTCACTTTAATTACTCATAACTGGTCTGTTTGATCAGGTTTTCTATTTCCTCTTGAATCTATGTTGGTATATGTGTCTGGGAAAATTTACTAGTGGTTGTCAATTTTATTTTTTCAAATCTTTTTATTTCACTGATCATTTGTATTGTTTTTTAGTCTTTTTTAAAATTTTATTTCTTTTGGAGACAGGGTCTTGCTCTGTTGCCCAGGCTGGAGTGCAGTGGCGTGATCTTGGCTCACTGCAACCTCTGCCTCCTGGGCTCAAGTGATTCTTCCATCTCAGCCTCCTGAGTAGCTGGGATTACAGGTGCACACCAACACGCCTGGCTTATGTTTTATTTATTTATTTATATTATATTTTTTTGAGATGGAGTCTCGCTCTGTCACCCAGGCTGGAGCGCACTGGCGCAATCTCGGCTCACTGCAACCTCCGCCTCCCAGGTTCAAGCCATTCTCCTGCCTCAGCCTCCCGAGTAGCTGGGACTACAGACTCCCACCACCACACCCGGCTAATTTATTTATTATTATTTTTAGTAGAGACGGGGTTTCACCGTGTTAGCCAGGATGGTCTTGATCTCCTGACCTCGTGATCTGCCTGCTTCGGTCTCCCAAAGTGCTGGGATTACAGGTGTGAGCCACCGCGAGTGGCCTTATGTTTGTATTTTTATTTGTAGAGATGGGGTTTTGCCATGTTACCCAGGCTAGTCTTGAACTCCTGGACTCAAGCAATCAGTCTACCTTGGCCTCCCAAAGTGCTGGGATTATAAGCATGAGCCACCATGCCTGGCCCTTTAGTCTTGATTTCACTTATTCCTGATTTGAACTTCATTATTTTTTTTTGCTTCTTCTGACTTTGGGTTTGCTTTGTTTTCACTTGTTTTTTGAGACAGAGTCTTGCTCTGTCACCAGACTGGAGTACAGTGGTGTGATCTCGGCTCACTGCAACCTTTGCCTCCTGGGTTCAAGCAATTCTCCTGCCTCAGCCTCCCGAGTAGCTGAGACTACAGGTGCGCGCCACCACACCCAGGTAATTTTTGTATTTTTAGTAGAGACGGGGTTTCACCATGTTGGCCAGGATGGTCTTGATCTCTTGACCTCGTGATCCGCCACCTTGGCCTCCCAAAGTGCTGCGATTAGAGGCGTGAGCCACTGTGCTTGGCCTGTTTTTGCTTTTATAGTTCCTTGAGATGCTTCATTAGATTGTTTATTGCAAATCTCTATTGTTTTGATGTAGGTGTTAATTGCTATGAACTTCCTTCTTCAAACTGCTTTTGCTGTATCCCATAGGTTTTGGTATTTTCTTTTCATTTTACTGAAGAAATTTTAAAGTCTCCTTCCTAATTTACTCATTGACCCACTGGTTGTTTAGGAGCACGTTTGTAAATTTCCATGTATTTGTACAATTCCAAAAGTTTCTATTGTTACTGATTTCTATCTTTATTTCATTTGTGGTCAGAAAAGATCCTTTGTATGATTTTAATTTTTAAAAAGTTCTTAAAACTAAGAAACGCCATCTCACTATATTGCCCAGGCTGGTCTTGAACTCTTGGACTCATGAGATCCTTTCTGCCTCACCTTCCCAAGTAGCTGGGACTACATGCAAGCAAAACTGTGCCTAGCTGATATCAAATCTTGTTTTGTGGCTTAACATGTGGCCAATCTTGAAGAATATTCTACTGGTGATGAAAACAATGTGTGTTTTGCAGCTGTTGGATGAAATATATTGTAAATGTGTTACTTCCATTTGGTCTAAAGTGCAGTTTAAACCCAATGTTTCTTTATTTTCTGTCTAGATGATCTGTCTAATGCTAAGAGTGGGGTGTTGAATTCCCCAACTATTACTGTATTAGAGTTTATCTCTCTCTTTAGATCTAGTATTTTTTATATATATATATATATATATATATGTTTTATATATCTGAGTGCTCCAGTGTTGGGTGTATATATATTTACAATGATTATATCCTCTTGCTGAACTGATCTCTTTATCATTATATTATGATCTTCTTTGTCTTTTATTTTTCAATATTTTATTTTATTTTGTTATTATTTTTTCTTTTTTTGAGATGGAATATCGCTTTGTCACCCAGGCTGGAGTGCAGTGGTGTGATCTCAACTCACTGCAGCCTCTGCCTTGCAGGTTCAAGCGATTCTCTGCCTCAGACTCCCGAGTAGCTGGGATTACAGGTGTGTATCACCATGCCGGGCTGATTTTTGTATTTTTAGTAGAGACAGGGTTTCACCATGTTGGCCAGGCTGGTCTCAAACTCCTGGCCTCAAGTGATCACCTGCCTCGGCCTCCCGAAGTGCTGGGATTACAAGCGTGAGCCACCACGCCTGGCCTGTTTTATCTGATACAAGTACAGCCACTCCTGCTTAGTTTTTATTTCCCTTTGCATGGAATATCTTTTTTGCACCCCTTCATTTTTAGCCTATATGTGCCTTTAGAAGTGAAGTGAGTTGGCCGGCCATGGTGGCTTACGCCTGTAATCCCAGCACTTTGGGAAACCAAGACGGGCGGATCACCTGAGGTCAGGATTTCGAGATCAGCCTGGCCAACACGGTGAAACCCTGTCTCTACTAAAAATACAAAAATTAGCCGGGCTTGGTGGTAGGCACCTGTAATCTATTCAGGAGGCTGAGGCAGGAGAGTTGTTTGAACCCGGGAGGCGAAGGTTGCAGTGAGCCAAGATTGCACCACTGCACTCCAGCCTAGGCGAGCAAGCGAGACTCCGTCTCAAAAAAAGGAAAAAAGAAAAAAAAGAAGTGAAGTGAGTTTCTTGTAGGTAGCATATAATTGTGTCACGGTTTTTAAAAATTTCATTTCACCAGTTTATGTCTTTTAAGTGGTGAAATTTAATCTGCTTACATTCAAGGTTATTACTGGTAGGTGAGGACTTATTCCTATCAATTTTTAATTGCCTCTGGTTGTTTTATATATCCTTTGTTATTTTTGTTCTCTCCTATTGTTTATCATTAAGGTTTGGCGGTTTACTGTAGTGCTAAGATTTGATTCCCTTCTCTTTCTCCTTTGTGTATCTGCTCTCTACCAGTGACTTTCATACTCCTGCATGTTTTCCTGGTAGTGAATACTGTCTTTTCAAAATGTAAAACTCTCTCAAGATGTATAACTTTCTCAATTTTTGTCTAGGAAAGACTATTTCACCCCCATTTCTGAAGGATGGCTTTGATGGACACAGTATTCTTTCTTGGCTGGCAATTTTCTGCTTTAAGCACTTTAATTCTATCATTCCATTCTCTCCTAGGCTGTAAGATTTCTCTGGAAAAATCTGTTTTTAGTCTAATAGGGATTCTCTTATGTGACTTGATGCTGTTCTCTTGCTGTTTTGTGAACTCTTTCACTCTCGACAATTTGACTGTAATGTGACACGGGGAGGATGTTTTCAGATTTACTCTTATTTAGGAACCACTGGGCTACCTGGATCTGTTGTCCATATATCTCCGTAGACTTGGGAAGTTTTCAGATTTTATCACATAGATTTTTTAATGCCTTTCCCCTTCTCTCCTTCTGGAACACCCATAATACAAATATTTGTTTGCCTAATGTTCCATAAGTTTTGTAGGCGTTCTTCATTATTTTTCATTCTTATTTCTTTTTTTTTGTCTCTGACTTGTTAATTTCAAATAACCTATCTTCAAGTTGAGAGATTCTTTCTTACATATGATCAAGTTTGCTGCTGAAATTCTCCACTGTATGTTTTTTCATTCATTGAATTCTTCAGCTGCAGGATTTGATTCTTACTTCTCTTTTATTCAATTTCCTGTTTATATTGTGAACTGTTTCCCCAACTCTATTGATTGTCTACACGTTTTCTTGTATCTCTCTGAGTTTCCATACGATCATAATTTTGAATTCCTTTTCTGGCAATTCATTAAGTTTTTTCCCATTGGAGTGTGTTACTAGGGAATTACGTTCCTTTGATGGTGTCCTACTTCCTTATTTCATGTTTCTCACGTCCCTGTGTTGATGTCTGTGCATCTGGTGGAACAATCACTTCTTTCAAATTTTCTAGAGTGGCTCTCCTGGACAAAGATTTTCGCCTACAGTTTAATCTTAGTGTGCCAGTTGGGAAGGGTGTGGTGACTATTTCTGGATAGGTGCAGTGGTACAGTCTCTGTGCAGTTTCAGCTGAATTCAACATCAGCAATAACCATGGGTGCCTCAGTGGTATAAGCTGTGGATGTCTGCTGCAGTGGTGTAGGCTGTTATCCTTTCAAAGGCCTTTGGGGACCTACTATTCTTGCTTTCCCCACAATGAGGAGACTTAGCCAAAGTGATCCCTCTTGGTGTGAGGTCTGATGTTACCCACAAGCAGCTGCAGCAGCACTGGATTCCAGGAGCAGGTGCTCAGAATGACAATGGGACCATGTCCTAGGCTCAGAGTCTCACAAATGTATTTGTGGCACCTGTGGCAAAGTGGGATATGTTACCCACATGGTCAGGATCTGTGACTGTCAGGTACCCACTGGTAGCTTGGACCTAAGAGTCTACTTTGTAGCTGTGATTCTATCCCTGGGAATTAGGGCATAACACTGGCCTGACTAGGTAGAAGGGGCATTCTGGAAGTTTGGGTCAAGGGTCTGGCTGCAATTCAGGAACATGAGTCAGCAGGGCTCAGTGGCAACTTAGGTCCCATGGAATGAAGCACCATACAGTATTGACTATAGACCCTGGGATGGCAGGGCTCAGCAGTATCTTAGATCTGTGAAGTCCAGTGCAATGACAGCAAGTATCCTAGCTTAGGGGAGCAGAGCTGTTGTGTGGACCCAGCATGGGAGGGGAGGATAGCACAGTGATAATTCCACTCTCCAAGAGGAAGGTTATCTAAGCAGCTGAGCTTCTTGAAGACTAGTACAGGTTCAAGCAAGCAGGGTACTAGAGTTCTACGGCCTGTAAGGGCAAGGTGTCTCAGCTCAGTCACCGCTCTATTTCTCTGGGACATGGTGTACTATATCAGCTCATCCCTGGCATGCACAACTGCTCAGTCTGGCCAAGGCACCAACTCCCCAAAGGATAATGTGCTGCTTCAGCTCAGGCCCAGGGAGCATACTCTTTTGGGTGGGCCAGGCACCATTTCCCTGTGATGCTGGGAGCTGCTTCAGCTTAGGTACTGGGATGTGTGATCACTCTGGATGGCCAATGCACCACTTCCTGGGAGGCGTGGCGCTGCTTCAACTGAGACACTGGGGAGGCATGATTGCTCTGAGTGTTCAAGGTACTGTTTTCCCAAAAGGCAGGATACTGCTTCAGCTCCAGTCCAAAGCAGCTGGGGGAAGAACAGGTGGAGCAGCTCCATCTCTGCTGGCCCCCGAGGAACAGAGCCAACAGTTGCTCCCAGCTCAGCCTGGAGATGTGGGGCCACTGTGCTGGGGTGGTTTGGTGGCAGCTTAGCCTTAGGGACAAAGGGGAGCCATGACTACTCACCCCTGGAGCAAGACACACTTCAGTCACAGCTCCAATTCCAAGATGGTATAGCACAGCAGCTGTGTGGGCCACAGGGATTGAGGCACAGTGTCAGCTCCTTCTCTGTGGGGTGCATAGCCGGGTGGACTCAGCTGGGCTTAGTGCCTGTGAGGACTGGTGGGAACCCTGGTGGTGAGGTCTGTAGGTATCCACAGTGTTGAAGGGGCTGCTGGGATCCTCTCACTTACCTCCTCACCACAGTGAGCTCTTCCTGGTTCCCAGCTGATCCTGGTTAGAGGATGGGACAGTGGAGGCCCAGTGTTTCCTTCCCATCTCTATGTGGCTATCTCAAACGTCTGTGCTCTCCAGAGCTTCTGTCATTCCTCGGATGCACCCCTGTACTCTCCCTCTGTTATTTTCATTAAGTTGTTTATTTATTGTTCAGGCTTTTTTTGCAAGGAGGACAAGTTCTAAGGATTTCTAATGGGTCATTTTCCTAAGGTAACTCAGATCTGGGTTGTTATTATTATTATTATTAAGGAATTTGAGGAGATTTTACAAGAATCTCATTGCTTCCATTCTGTTCAGATCAGAATTCTACCAAAGAGTTCTGAACAGAAAAGTTCCTGATGCTATTTGAGGCTTGGAGAATTAAAATCTTGCCTCCACAGGATGTCCAGGTAGGGTCTCTAATATTTCAGAGACAAGAAGGGCCTGAATTAGGCAAGCAGCAGTAGGTAAAGAAAGAAGAGCGCAAAGTCAAGAAAGATTTAGCAGGTAAAACCGACAGAACCTCATGACTGACATGGAGGCACGAAGAGGGGGGTTTGAGGAGAGGTGCCCCCAGACTTCTGGCTCGGTGATGAGCCGTGTGAGAGCGCCTGCCATCACACTGCATTATGGAATAGCCAAAAGCAGAGAGCAGGTGCTGGTGGAAGCAGTCCAGTCTTCAGCAAGCTGACGTGAATGCATGTAGGTTATCTAATCAGAGACCTACAAATATTTAGGTAGATCATATTTTCCACCTCTGAACTTTGAACACCTCTTATAGCACAAGGACAAAATATCTCTTCTCTGTGTTAGGTATTAATGTCAATACCTTCACTGTAATTTTTCTTTGGACTTGGCTTCAGTATTACTACCTTCTTCTGAATTATCCTTTGAGTTTTTAATCAGTCCTTTAACATTTCCCATCACTTTGCGACAGGTAAACCTGTGACAGGTATAAGTGTCTATGTATGTGTGTACAATTTGATCTCTTCCTGGAATCTGTCTAAAAGCCACTATTTTTTTAAAATTTTTCATTCTAAGTCTATTTGCATCCGGCTAACTCTCAAGTACCTACGATGAGGTACAAAATTCTTCCATGAAGATCACTTTTTATTAAAGTCTCTTACCTTCACCTAAACACCATGCCATTAAGTCACTGTTTTTCAAGGTGTGGTCCATGGGGCAGATGCATTAAATCTACCTTGAATGCTTAGTAATATATAATAATAAAATCTATACTAACTAAGGTTTATTCGGTACATACCATGTGCTAGGTACTGTTCTAAGCCCTTCACAAGTACTGACTCGTGTTATCGTCACAATCATTTTATGAGAAAAGAACTATAATATCCCATTTTACAGAAGAGGAGATTGAGGCAGAGATTAAATAATTTGCCCACATCAAAGGCTAGTAAGTAGGCCCTATCCAGACTTGCTGAATTAAGGGGAGGAACGATCTTGGAAATTTGCAATTTTAAAAAGTGCTCCAGCCCCTAAAAGGAGCTCTCACATGATTCTTTTGTATACTAAAGTTTGAGACTCACTAAATGAAGTACAAACCCTGGTTTCAAAGCATTTTCCCGTAATACGCTACCCACTCACTGATATTCTCCGTACTTCACACTGTGCCCTATTCCTTTAATAATAAAACTCCTCAAATTTACACCTCATCACACACAGAATGTTAGAAATGACAAAACCACAGAAAGGCATCATTTTACAAAGGAGAAAAACCAAGCCCCAGAAAGAGATGAGGAGATCTGTCTGAAGTTACTAAAAGTATTCGGACTAGGACCATAGATCTCCTTTCCACTTCAGTTCTTCCTCCACTATAAAATGCTGAAAAGACTTTCTATAGCATACAGCTTGAGGGGTTTGTTAGGGGCCAGATTATCTTATCTCATCTGGTCAAAGCTGCAACAATAAACACCATTCTATATTTGAAAGCAAAGTGACAAAATGTTTGAATTGGCAGAAAACAAGTTAAAACAATTCTTACGGCTTAATCTAATAGGAATAGTTGGTTCAAAGCCAAATGGTTCAGAGTATATTGAGGATAGGTCACTTTGATGAAATTCATCTCAGGTTTTGCCATTCGGCAATCAGAACTCTCTCACAGAATTAGAGTAAGTCTGTATCTGCACAGAGTAGGGTTTTCTTTTTGTAAACACTGGTGAAATCTAGGTATAAAATCTTTCCCCAATGCAAAGTGCCTTGTAGTCTGCACCCTCCTTCATTCATTCACCACCATTTTTTCCCATTTTTTTTTCTCAAAAGAAGCCTCTGTTAACTCTTTTGCAAGACACCATCTGCCTGTGCCCAGATCACTCCTCTCCTCTCTACATAACCTTATTTTATTAATATCATCTTCCTTTGCTCTTCAATATTTCCTCTTTTCATAGCTCCTTCTCCCTAAGTCTCTCGCACCAGAAAAGAATTGTATATCACTCCACTGCTAAAAAACCGTACTGATGGCCCGGCGTGGTGGCTCGTGCCTGTAATCCCAGCACTTTGGGAGGCCGAGGCGGGTGGATCACCTATGGTCAGGAGTTTGAAACCAGCCTGGCCAACATGGCGAAACCCCGTCTCTACTAAAAATACAAAAATTAGTCGGGCCTGGTGGTGGGCACCTGTAATTCCAGCTACTCAGGAGGCTGAGGCAGGAGAATGGTCTGAACCTGGGAGGCGGAGCTTGCAGTGAGCTGTTAATCGAGCCACTGTACTCCAGCCTGGGCGACAGAACAAGCCTCTGTCTCAGAAAAACAACAACAACAACACCAACAGAAACCATATTGATTATAGAATAAAGCCTAACTTTCTTATGTGATTCATGCCCTTCATAGTCTAGTGACAATTTATTCATCTAATATCAGCTCAACACTCACAAGTCTCCTGCCCACTATTCCTGATGTTTCAGTCATTCAACTCTTTCATCTCTCTGTGGAAAATGATCCATTTGCCTGACTCTCCTTCATCTCCATCTGATGAAGTCTTAATTCATCCTTTAAAATTCAGCTCCAAGGTCACAACCTACCTTCTCTGTGAAGTGTCCTTGACTCCCTGAGAGTAATATCACTCTGCCCCCAAAGAATAACTCCTATACCACACAGTATTTTGACTGCATCTGTCATTGCAACAGAAGGTAAGCTCATTCTTGAATTCATTGAAATATTTACTGAGGCAGTGTGATGTGCCAGGCCCCATGCTAAACCCCAAGGATATAGAAATGAATTATCTTGCAA
Organism: Homo sapiens; assembly: GCF_000001405.40. Taxonomy (NCBI): domain Eukaryota; kingdom Metazoa; phylum Chordata; class Mammalia; order Primates; family Hominidae; genus Homo; species Homo sapiens. The sequence continues at coordinate 180,005,915 of NC_000005.10, forward strand.
ACACTATGATCTTAAGAGCATATTTTGTGCTTTAAAAAAATCAGATCTTAAGCCCCTGACATGTAATATTTAGAAGGTATATAATACAGTCTCTGTATATGAAAAGTGTTATTTATTTACAAAATGGCAGGACATGAAAAACAAGGTATCAGAGTATTTGCAGTATTTTTTTAAAACTGGTAAGATAATAACTTCTCAGCTCAAACATCTATTTCCCCTTTCCAGTTCTTCTGGAATTGTTAATCCTTAAGAAACATAATGAACAAAATTCACTCTGCCATCTAAAATGACAAAAGAAGTCTGTTTTGGGGCCATATAATCCTTTTCTGTAGGACAAATCTTGGCAGTATATACAATACTTCCTCTCTTCCAATGTGGAAGAAAAAAAAAAACCTTTTGAACCCACCAGTTTTCAAAGATTAACTGTACTCATGCAAAGTTTTAACCTTTCTCTGACACAGGAATGTTCCATATATTTCCACATTCTGACAGGCAAATGCATTCTCCAATTAGCTACTGACCTTTCATGATGAAAATGGGCAATAAGAGTGTATTTCATTTCAGCAACCCTGAGATACTTATAAAGTCAAAGAATATTATATACACATGTTATGGCAAGAAGCTTTTACAAATTTTAAATACCTTAAAAAGCACATGCATTTTCACTGGGAAGTTTTAAGAATACATTCTAAATATTCAGGAGTCCATTAAGTGGCAGAATATTTTACATCTGCCCCGTTCCTAAACAGTAAAATGAAAATTTCATTGTTCTGCTTTAGAAATTAAATTTGACCACTTTGAAATTAAAGGTGCAATATTAACCATGTAACTGTTAAACATTTTACATTTTTCAGAAAATCCTTAAGCATTTATTCAAAATAAAGGTAACAAACATCTACCGTTTTGTGTAAAATAACTATCAGTGACTTAATTTGACAGCGACATTTAAGTTTACCATCAGTGGTAGTTTGAACTATCTACACCTATAGATAGTAATTAGATACATTCTGACAGTTTTCCAGGAAGAGCAAACCACAGACACTTAGTCATGAACTGAAAAGCCAAAGCATTAGATTCTTATATCACATGCAAAATGTTCTCAATTGTGAGCATTTTACTATGCTTAGAAAGTTATTTACAATATATGGATCTCTTTGGTAGCATGTTCTACAGGAAGAACTGCTTCATGATAACAGTTTGTGGGGGCCAGGTGTGGAGGTTCATGCCTGTCATTCCAGCACTTTGGGAGGCTGAGGCAGGAGGATCACATGAGGTAAGGAGTTTGAGACCAGCCTGGCCAACATGGTGAAATCCCATCTCTACTAAAAATACAAAAATTAGCCAGGCATGGTGACACACATCTTTAGTCCCAGCTACGTGTGAGGCTGAGGCAGGAGAATTGCTTAAGCCGAGGAGGCAGAGGTTGCAGTGAGCCAAGATCGCGCCACTGCACTCCAGCCTGGGTGACAGAGTGAGACCCAGTCTCAAAAAACAAAAACAAAAACAGTTTGTGAGAGAAAATCAGAGTCTGTCCTTAAACTCACTGGTTTTCCTTTGCTAATATTATGGCTTCTCTTTTAAAATAGCCAAAGGTTTCAACCAGTCTAGCTGCTGCCACCTTCTTATTAAACTTTAATAAGCTAAGCTTTTTAAGCCACATAAAAATTTCATCAAGCATTTGTCAACCTTGGGGAAAACGGAAGGAGGAAAAAAGGTCAGAACATCACTTTCCACCACAGTAGCATCTGGAGAGACGCTTTGGAAGGATCCTGCATGCAGTCAGCCGCAAAATAAATGCTAGGAAACAAGCTCGCAGTTTGTGGCCTGCACCAGATGGTGATTATGTTTCCTCCTTCATCAGCCCCGGCCCCACACTGGGTGCTAATTAAAGCACTATCTTCCAATAGCAGGCTCCTGGGACAACCGTGAGCCTTTGTTCCAACGTCCTCAGGGTGAGCTACACCCAGTCCACTAACACAGGCTTGCCTGTCAACAACACCACTCCAGAGCAGCTCCTTCTCATTTTACTTTCAGTGTTTCGTATGTCAACATATTTTAAAAACAAATCTTTTAGTTTTTTTTTTTTTTTTTTTTAACAGGTATATTACATGTTATAGGAGGGAAAAGGAGGTGGGCTGCCTGGGGCCCTCAAGACATGAGAAACGGGTGGTGGCTTCCAAGCTTCCTTACTTCCCCCATAGATTCCTGACAATGTGCTGCAGAAGCCTCCAACCTGGAACAGCCAACAGGACCAGAGCAGCCCACCACCCGACCCCAGAAAAAGCCGAGAAAAGCCCAACTCCGCTAGCCAAAGTACCAAGAGAAGGATGGCCTAACATCAGAAAACACTTGCAGTAATATTCATTCTACTCCAGCCAGGCGCCAAGGGCAAAATCACAATCCTCCTCCCACCCTGGTCTCACAGAGCCCAGTGGGAATAGGCTCTCCCAGCCCGGCTCCTCAGGAAGAAAAGCTGTGCCCACTGGTCTAATTAACACCCAGAGAACATGCCACCCAACAGCAGAATATTTTTTCTAAGCACCAATGAAACACTGACTAAGACAAACTACATCCTACATCATAAAACAAACTTCAAGAAACAGAAGAGAACTGAAATCATAGAGTATTTCTCTGAGCATAATGGAATCAAACCAGAAATCAGTAACACTAAGATAATAGTAAAATCTTGGCAGGACACAGTGGCTCATGTCTGTAATCCCAGCACTTTGGGAGGCTGAGGTGCACAGATCGCTTGAGGTCAGGAGTTCAAGACCAGCCTGGGCAACACAGTGAAACCTCATCTCTACCAAAAAATACAAGTTAGCCGGACACGGTGGCATGCGCCTGTAATCGCAGCTACTCGGGAGGCAGAGGTCAGAGAATCACTTGAACCCGGGAGGTGGAGGTTGCAGTGAGCTGAGATCGTATCACTGCACTCCAGCCTGGGTGACAGAGTAAGACCCTCTCTCAAAAGGAAAAAAAAAAAAGTAAAATATCTAAACTACTGGAAATTCAATAACATACTTCTCAGTAATGTATGGGTAAAAGAAGAAGTCTCAAAAGAAAAAAATACATAGGACTGAATGAAAATGAAAATACAGCATATCAAAATATGTGAGGCATAGCCTTAAAGAAGTGCTGAGAGAGAAATTTATAGCACTTAATTCTTACATTAGAAAACAGGAAAGCCTTCAAATAAACTAATCACAGACTTAAATGTAAAACATAATATAAAACTTCCAGGAAAAATAGTAGAAAATCTTTGGGATATCTAGGGATAAGTAAAGAATTTTTAGACTTGACACCAAAAGCACAATTCATAAAAGAAAAAATTAATAAACCATAAAAATTAGAAATTTTTGCTTTTCAAAGACCTTGTTAAGAGGTTGAACAAAACAAAATACAGACTGGGAGATAATCTCTGCAAGCCACATATTTGACGAAGGACTTGTATCTGGAATACATAAAAAGCTCTCAAAATTCAACAGTGAAAAACAATCTAGGTAGAAAATGGGCAAAAGACATGAATGGATATTTCACTGAAGAGGATATACGGATGGCAAACAAGCACATAAAAAATGTCTAATTAGAGAAATGCAAACTAAAACCACAAGAGATGTTACTACACAACTCAACAATCACAAGAGATGAAAACACCAAGTGCTGTCGAGAGTGTGGAGGAACTGGATCAGTCATACATTTCTAGCAGGAATGCAAAATGGTATGGCCACTTTGCAAAATGAGTCTAACAGTTTCCTACAGAACTAAATATGCACTTATCTTAACAGCCCAAAAACTTCACTCTTGGAATTTACACTGAACTCAGAAATTACACATTTATCCCAGGGAAACGAAAACTCATGTTTACACCAAAACCTGTATGTGATTGTTCACAGCTGCTTTATTTGTAATAGCCAAAATCTGAAAACATCCCAGATATCCTTCAATGAGCGAGCAATTAAACAAACGGTGGTACATCCAAACCATGGGATATAGTTCGGCCATAAAAAGGAATAAATGACTGATACACATAACAACTTGAAAGTATCTTGGCCGGGCGCAGTGGCTCACGCCTGTAATCCCAGCACTTTGGGAGGCTGAGGTGGGCGGATCACAAGGTCAGGAGATCGAGACCATCCTGGCTAACACGGTGAAACCCCATCTCTACTAAAAATACAAAAAATTAGCCAGGCACGGTGGCAGGCACCTGTAGTCCCAGCTACTCCGGAGGCTGAGGCAGGAGAATGGCGTGAACCTGGGAGGCGGAGCTTGCAGTAAGCTGAGATCCAGCCGCTGCACTCCAGCCTCGGCGACAGTGAGACTACATCTCAAAAAAAAAAAAAAAAAAAAAAAAAAAAGTATCTCAAGGTAATTATGCTGAGTGAGGAAGTGAAGAATTCCAAACTCTAGAGGTTACATACTATATGATTCCACCTATATAACATTTTTTTCTTTATTTTTTTGAAACAGAGTCTCACTCTGTCACCCAGGCTGGAGTGCAGTGGTACGATCATGGCTCACTGCAGCCTCTGCCTCCCAAGTTCAAGCAATTCTCGTGCTTCAGCCTCCTGAATGGATGGGACTACAGGCGCATGGCACCTTGCCCAGCTACATTTTTGTATTTTTAGTGGAGATGGGGTTTGCCATGTTGGCCAGGCTGGTCTTGAACTCCTGACCTCAAGTGATCCACCTGCCTTGGCTTCCCAAAGTGCCGGGATTACAGGTGTGAGCCACCGTGCCTGGCCCATGATTCCACCTATTTAACATTCTTGAAATGACAAAACTATAGAGATGAGAAACAGATTCCTGGTAGATTAGGGAAGGGGGAAGGAGGGAGGTGGCTGTGGTTATAAAAGAGTAGCACAAGGGTTCCTTGTGATGGAACTGGTCTGTATCCTGACCGTGTTGTTGGTCATGTGAATCTACACATGCGATAAAACTACACAGACTAAAGACAGACACACACATACACAAATAAGTACACATTAAACTGGAGAGGTGGGGAGATTTCAGTGTATTTAGGAAGATCAGTGGATTGCATCCATGCCAATTTCCAGGTTATGATACTGACCACAGTTATACATGTTGTTACCACAAGGAGAAATGAGTGAAGGGGATAAGAGACATCTTTGTATTTGTATTATCTCTTACAAATGCAAGCAAATCTACATTTTCACAAAACGCATATAACCTGAAACTAATCACGAAGGAACACAACACGTCGGATAAACTCAAATACAAAATAATTGATCTGTACTTTTCAGAAACGTCCATGTCATAAAACCAAGTAAGAAGAGACAACTGAATGCAAAATCCAATGAGCTCCAATCAATCCAGGATTTTCTTTGCTATAAAGGTCATTATTGAGCCAGTTTTACAAAACCCAAAAAAGGTCTATCAATCAGATAATGTATTATATCAATGTTAATTTACTGATTTTGATAACCACACTATGGTTATGTAAGAGAATGTTCTTGTTTTTATAAAATATATAACAAAGTATTTAAGGGTAACAGGGCATCATATCTCAAACTTACTCTCAAATAGTTTTGTTAAGGTATATATACAAAGGTTGAGGGTGGTGTTCACACCCATAATCCTGACACTTTGGGAGGCCAAGGTGGGCGGATCCTTTGAGCCCAAGAGTTTGAGACCAGCCTGGCCAACACTGCAAGACCTGGCCTGTGCAAAAAAATTAAAAAATTAGCCAGTCATGGTGGTGCATACCTTCAGTCCTAGCTACTCAGAAGATTGAGGCCAGAGGATAGCTTCAGCCCAGGAGCTGGAGGCTGCAGTGAGCCATGACTGCCACCACACTCCAGCCTGGGTGACAGGGCAAGACCCTGTCTCTTAAAAAAAAAAAAGTTTTTTAAATTAAAAAAGTATAGTTACATAGAAAAGGAAATACAGTAAAACATTAACAGCTGTAGCATCTGAGTGAAGGGAATACTTGCCACTTATCTTACAAATTTTTTGTTAAGTCTAAAATTACAAATATAAAAATTTTCAAAATAAAAAAAATTAAAAGTGCACAGGGAGAGCCTGGCACAGAAAGCTTCAATAAACTGCAGTCAGTGTTTGGGTATTTTATATGTACTTCCACAGTCAGCGTTTGGGTATTTTATATCTACTTTCACAGTCAGCGTTTGGGTGTTTTATATCTACTTTCAGATGAGAAAGAAGCTGAGATGCTCAAGAAACTGTCCAACAGGGTGAGGGGTCATGGTGAACTGGTGGTGCAGGAGGGATGTGAGCTGAGACCTGTTCCATGCCAAAGTCTGCGCTTTTTCCGCTAGAAAGAGGAAGGATAAAAATCCCAGTGTGCCCATCCCCACAGGAATTTGAATGTACCATGTTAGGAGAAGACAGCGTTATACAAAAACTGGCTTCAAATCACTCTCCAAGCAAGTCACTTCTTAGTTTTCTACACAAAAAGTCTAGGAGAGGGACCTAACACCTGGAACCTGGCACCTAGGGTGTGTATTCTGTCCACAGCACATCAATCAAACTCAGTCACCAACTGAGGGCCACCATCTCCAGGCCCTCACACCGGGGAAGCACACTGCTTTTCCTAGGTTTATTCACTCAACCAAAATAGATGCGCTGTCAGTGGAACTCCTAGGATGACTACATAGACAGACATCTTCTATTGGTCTTCCCCCACTCACCCTTACCCCATGTCTGAGCTTAGATGACAGAGGTTTTTCATTGATTTCATTTTCTGAATAGATAATACTTTCCCAGTTCAAAATTCACATGGGAAAGAATTTCACATAGGAAGGGGAAGAGTGAAGTCTCCCTAACCCCCCTCCAAGTTCCCATTTGCAGAAACATCCAAAGTTACTGGTTTAAAAATGCAACTTTGTGCTATTTCTCCAAATTAACAGAATTATCTAGATAATACTATGATATCAAGCTATCTACCTGACTAGAATATTCTAGGTGATCACAATAAATTTAGTACCTTTTAGGTTATTTTAAATATCCCTTAAATACTCATGTAGACGTTTCCAACATATTAAAATGACTGAGTGAGGGTAACAACATTTTTTAAAAGAAAAAACATGTTAGTAAGATGCATGGTCACGACAGATGACTGTGAACTCTGGCTGTTACGAACCAATCACTGTTGAGTACTGAGCTCACCTGGTTCCTGTCGCGTGCATTTGTGTACCTGATCTTCTGAATGAAGTAGAATATGAGCCATGCTGAAGAAATAATCATCAAAACAATAAAGGATATTGACACGAAGACTAGAGAGCCACGGCTGAAGTTCTTCGGTGGCATTCGAGTTCCAACAGCTATTGTCATTTGTACAGAGATGTTTTTCTCCAGATAACTCAAAATATCCTTACCCCTCAATTCTGTTATCATGACAGCAATAATATCTCCAGTGCCTGCAATATAAAATAAATATATAACTCAAGTGACATTTAAAACTTATGGAAACATCAAATGTATCAACACGCTACTTAGGTAACTACTATAATGTCTGGTAATGGAAAGGGTATGCAAACTCCACTTCTCAACTGAAATGTAGATGCAGCTGGGTATGCTGGCACCAAGTAGGAACATGTAATTTGTTGTGTGGTACTTAAGACTTAAACAGACATAAGGCATAGAACGACTGCAGTGTTAAGAACCATATTAACTTGTCTGACAACTACATTTTTAAAAAAAGATTATTAAACCAGCCAAATGTGACAACAGACAGCAACATAACATTATACAGCAAGAGAAGTGTATCAACATCATGGTAGATTTACACTGTAAAACCTTTTCTATTTTAAAATGATCTTCAGAAAGTCTTAATTCCTTAAGAAATGGAGTAAAGTGCTGTTTTTATAGCATAAATTGGTACTTCTTGCACTAATCTAGGAACATTCATGGAGTACCCACTGTCTGTAGAACTAGTGCCAGGAACAAAAACAAGTACAGGATACCAAGCTTTCTAATCTCACTGAGACAGGGGACACACAGCTGGTAACAGAGCTACAAAGTGCCAAATGGTGCCACCTTTTATTAGTGACATCTGAAACTAACTTGGGTCTTATGTCCAGACTTGAGTGGAGTTGAGGCTCCTTGCTAGTTTACCCCAGAACTCTTCTGGAAATCAAACGTTCCAGAGACAGGTCCAGGCTTCAACATTCTGGACCAGTTTGGCATCGAAATACCTCCAGCCTCTAACAGTTGTCCAGAGGTCTGCCCACAAGCACAGGCTATGCAAGTTAATTACGAGGACAGTCTTAAGTTGCCTTATAGTTACCTAGACCTTTCCCCTACATAATTTCCAGAAGTAGTAACAGTGAAGGAATTGAATACCTCTTCCTATGGACAGCAGGAAACTGCTATCCCTTTCCTCCTCCACAAAGGAAATAACTTCCCACTGTCTTTTAAGGAAACAGAGAAACTTCTATCAATCTATCAGCGATTGTCCTTTCATAAGCTGAAGCTGCCGGTGGCAACATGTAGCTTCTACATTTGCCTTCTCCAGAGAGCCCCTGAGAGAGACTAGGGGTCATTAGAAGGGAAATAAATATTTTATTTTGGGAAAGAGAAAATTATAACCACTTATTTGAATTTGAATAAGGTTTGTACATATCAATGTAAACCAACAAAACAATCAAGCAGAAGTCCCCAAAACTTGTCCTTTTCAATCCTTCTTCAATGAATAACACATTGAAATATTTGGTTTTACATGTTTCATTTACCATATTTAGCTAAAAGAACCATCTTTGTGTTACATGCAGTCACAGAAGACTACACGCAACTGAAAAGAAATTCAACAGGGCTGGGCGTGGTGGCTCATGCCTATAATCCCAGCACTTTGGGAAGCCAGGGCAGGTGGATTGCTTGAGCTCAGGAGTCCAAGACCAGCCTGGGCAACATGGTGAAACCCTGTCTCTCACAAAAACAGGAACATTAGCTAGGCATGGTGGCACATGTCTGTGGTCCCAGATACTCAGGAGGCTGAGGTGGGAGGATCACTGGAGTCCAGGAAGTTGAGGCTGCAGTGAGCTGAGATCACGCCACTGCACGCCAGCCTGGGTGACAGAGCAAGACCCTCAAAAAAAAGAAGAGAAATACAACAGTAAAAGGAGTTTTATGGAAAATGTAACCCAATGGAACATATACCTTTTTACTACCTTACTCAAAATTGTTACAGCCACTTTATTAGAACAGCAGTTTACCAGAATACCGATTAAAAATCTACAAAAAACTATAAAATTAAAGCAAGCAATAAACATCTAATTAATATCTAATTACCTTTCTGAAATAAGAGTTGTGATCAGTAAATTAGAGACAATCACAAAATAATGCTAAACCGCTTTAAATTTCCCTTTAGAAATCTCTTAAAATGTTGTTCAACGGGCCATGATCTGTGGTATAAGATACCAGGTATGGCTATAAAGTAACTGAGACGGATCCCACAAACGACATATGACAATCAGTCTCATTGCTTTATAATCACACCAGGTACAAACGGTTTTAGAAATCAGTTGAGGCTCCCTCTTGAAGACTCAAGCTGGAAAAGGAGTAGGGAAAGGAGTAGGGAAAGGAGTAGGGAAAGGAGTAGGAAAGGAGTAGGGAAAGGAGTAGGAAAGGAGTAGGGAAAGGAGTAGGAAAGGAGTAGGGGAAGGAGTAGGGAAGGAGTAGGGAAAGGAGTAGGGAAAGGAGTAGGGAAAGGAGTAGGGAAAGGAGTAGGGAAAGGAGTAGGGAAAGGAGTAGGGAAAGGAGTAGGAAAGGAGTAGGAAAGGAGTAGGGAAAGGAGTAGGAAAGGAGTAGGGAAAGGAGTAGGGAAAGGAGTAGGAAAGGAGTAGGAAAAGGAGTAGGAAAGGAGTAGGGAAAGGAGTAGGGAAAGGAAAGCTGAACAGGTAGCCAAGGAAACCAATCCATGTGATTCTATTCAAAGAACACTAAATAAGAACACCAACTAATTTCAACGGGAAAGCTGTTTGGGAAAAGAAGTGTGTAATTATTTCAACCATCCATTCAACAATATTTATTGAGCACATACTATGATCAGGCTCCTTTCACCTCTTAAAGAGAGTAGAAAATTACCTGCTCTTGATGCAAAAATCCACACGCCCTCAGGAGCAAAGGGGGAACCTTTTGGACTAGGAAGAGAAGCCGCTCGCGGTGGCGTCATTACACCAGCACAGAGAAGAGCCGGGCAGAGGAGCCCGACCCTGCCGATCGGGCAGGAGGACAGCAGAACGAAAGCCCGCCACCAACTTGCAAAGGACTGGAGTTTTAGGTCTTAAATCTTTTACAGAATCTGGCGAAAGTTATATAGGAGTCCCCTCCTAGGAGAAAGGGCCTTCTCCCCATACTCCACCCCTAAAGCCTGATAGGGCTCAAAGACCCTGACCTAAAGCTGCCTCAGACACTTGACTTTTAAGGATCTGAGGAGCTCTGGCCCAGTTTCACGCCAAAGGAAATGTAGGCTTCACAATAAAGGGCCGGTCAGAGGAGGCAGTGACTGAAAAGAGTGAAGAATAATTAGACTGTAACGCTGTAAATATCAAAGCACATTTGGGACATGCCCCACCACTCCCATGTCCCAGGCCCTGGGCAAACACTGCTAGTAAGTCACGGATGCGGCCACGCTCCCACGCACTTCCACGTCTGGCCGCCAGTACTAACTGTCAGAGATGGCAATCCAGTGAAAGCCCATCTGTGATCCCTGCTTCCAACTATTTTCTTGAGAAACTTCCCCCACTGTTATTCTTTAACAGGAACTTCTGTTTCCACACTGCTTGAGTCTGGCTACTTTAATAAACAATTCTATTCTTTCCACTTTCATCCTGAGAATTTTCAAACCCATAGAGCAGTTCCAATACTGTGAGAACACTCATGGACCTTTTATTTAGATTTGTCAACATTTTGTCCTTTCTATATGTATTTATTTTTGCTGAACCAATTAAGAGTAAACTGCAAACACATGACATTTTATTCTTAAATACTTCCACGGTCCCTCCTAAGAACAAGGCTAGCTACGTGGCCACAATTCATTTACTTATCCTCAAGAAATTTAACCCTGTGTTCTTTAATAGATGGTCCATTTTCAGGTATCTGTGGTGATGACTTTAATAGCTGTTTAACTTGTTTAGTTTTGTGTCCAGGATTCAATCGGGGCTGTCGGCATCATGCTTAGCTGTCATGTCTCATTAGTCTCCTTTGATCTAGAATAGTTCCTCAGTCACTTCCGGTCCATTCATCACAACACTGACCTTTTTAAAGAGTCCAATCCAGATGTTCTGACCATGCCCCTCAATCTGGATTTGACTGTTTCCTAATGATTAGATCTCCAAATTAAATATTTCTAGTAAGAATACCACAAGGTGATGGCGTGTCCCTCCTCAGCTCGTCACTTCAGGAAGTGCAGGCCGGGTTGTACCTTTATTTTTGGTGGCAAATTTTATGACTTGGTTATTTTGGTATCTGCCAGGTTTCCTCACTGTAAATAAATGTTTTCCTCTTAATTAATAAGCAATCTGTGGGCTGATACTTCCAGATTGTGTGACTAGCCAGTTCCCCAAAAACCTTTCACTCAATGCTCTCAGCATCCACTGGTGTTTGCCTGAATCTGTTACGACAATGGTATTTGTAAAATTCTAATTCCCTAATGCTGTGATTTCTTCTACATTTTGTAAACTGATTCTATAATCAAAGGCATTAACAACACTTTCTACTTATCTTTGTTTCCCATTAAAAAAACAGAAATGCTGGGTGGGCAGTTTTTCGGAAAAGAGCCCCCCATCCCCATCAATTCTATTTTTTAATGAGGAAAAAAAGTGGGAAAATATGATAATACTGCTATAATCCTGACTACAAAATCAGTTTTGAGAGGCCAACAGAAGGAACCTCAGAATTAAGCTCCTTTGGGCTCCGGAATCGGAGGGTCTAGGTTCAAATCCCAGCATGGTACTTTAACCTCTTTGAACTTCAGTTTCTTCTTTCAAAAAATGACAAACTACCTGCAGGCTTCACAGCAGATGTTCAGTAACTGCTGCAGCGTAATGAGCTGTATTAGTCTGTTCTCACACTGTTACAAATAAATACCTGAGACTGGGTAATTGAGAAAGAAGAGGTTCAGGCTGGGCGTGGTGGTTCACACCTGTAATCTCAGCACTTTGGGAGATCAAGGCGATGGATCACCTGAGGTCAGGAGTTTGAGACCAGCCTAGCCAATATGGCGAAACCCCATCTCTACTAAAAATACAAAAATTAGCTGGGTGTGGTGGCAGGCGCCTGTAATCCCAGCTACTCGGGAGGCTGAGGCAGAAGAATTGCTTGAACAAGGGTGGTGGAGGTTTCAGTGAGCCGAGACTGTGCCACTGCACTCCAGCCTGGGAAACAGAGTGAGACTCCATCTCAAAAAAAAAAAAAAGAAAAGAAAAGAAAAAAAGAAAAGAGGTTTAATTGACACACAGTTCCACATGGCTAGGGAAGCCTCAGGAAACTTACAATCATGGCAGAAGGCACCTCTTCACAGGGCAGCAGGAGAGAGAACGAGTGCAAGTTGGGGAAATGTCAGATGCTTATAAAACCATCAGATCTCATGAGACTCACTCACTAGCCATGATTCAATGACCTCCGCCTGGTCCCACCCTTGACATGTGGGGATTATAGGGATTGCAATTCAAGGTGAGATTTGGGTGGGGACACAGAGCCAAACCATATGATGAGCTAATCCTACTTGTATTATTACTCACAGAAAGCAAAAGAAAATGTTGTGGGAAGAAAATCAAAAGGCCTCTAACCACAGATTTTTGGATGCCCATTCTCTCTTCGCCCCCTGCCCACTGCTCAGAAAATGCCCAGGGATCTGCTGACCAACACAGTCCTGCCAGCTACAAAAGAATTTATGCTTTAGTTTAGAAAGTGAGTCTACCCAGCTGGGAAGAGTCTGATCTATGCCCTCACCCTCTTGGCTTCCCTCCACTCCTCCTGGGAGTAAACCCCGGGGCAAGCCCAGTGTAGCTGAGCAGCTGATAAAGGAAGATCCAGGAAGAGAACAAATGAGCTGTCTGAGGCACCAGGCTGCAAGAGGAGAGAGGTGGCTTTACCATAAGCATTTTTACTATTGGTTACTCACAGTGGCATTAGTTATTCCTATATAACCTATTATACGTAAAGCAGAACACCATATACTTTAAGTGAAAAAGATTAAAATCACTTTGAGGCCGGGCGGGGTGGCTCACGCCTGTAATCCCAGCACTTTGGGAGGCTGAGGCAGGTGGATCACCAGGCCAGAAGATCAAAACCATCCTGACTAACACGGTGAAACCCCATCTCTACTAAAAATACAAAAAATTAGCCGGGCGTGGTGGCGGGCACCTGTAGTCCCAGCTACTCGGGAGGCTGAGGCAGGAGAATGGCATGAACCCGGGAGGCGGAGCTTGCAGTGAGCCGAGATCACGCCACTGCACTCCAGCCTGGGCGACAGAGCGAGACTCTGTCTCAAAAAAAAAAAAAAAAATCACTTTGAAGTTCCAGAAGGACTGCTGCTGAGGCAACAGCTAGGTGTATTCAGGGTCAAGCTGCACATGGGGCAGAGCCCTGGCTGCCTGTGTCTCAGGGAGACTGCTGGCTCCTGATCCCAAGACTTCTCATCTCACTCCACTGACTTAATGAAAGTCCTTCTCAAATGTTCATCCACAACTTTCAGTTCTTCAAACCCAATCTTCATTCTTCTCTTCACTGATCCCTTAAAGAACTCAAGGGGGAAAAACAGATACATTCTACATTCTTTTAGGAAATGAATATAGCAATAATTCTGACAGATGGAGGTTATATCAATTATAGATTTCCTGCTGAGACTTGTCAGTAGTTTTCCTAAAATATAGACCTGCTGTCACTCTGCTTTCAAAAGCCTTTGATGTATCCCTTCTGTCAGAAAAATAAAGTGCAAACTCTTTCACTGGACACTCAAGCACTGGGGAGCCACATGGCCCTGAGGGTAACTGAGTCACGGAACGGTGAACACTCTCGGACCCAGTGAAACTGTTGGGCAAAGTGACTGGAATAGTGGTTCATGCAATCTGGGCAGGACGGAGAGGTGAAGCCAGGAGGGAAACTGGGAGAAAACTAAGAAAGGGTCCAGGGAACTGGAAGCTTCAACAAAACTAAATGACAGGAAGAGAGGGGGAGAAAGGGAAGAGGCACTGGTCAGGACACAGGACACAGGAGTTTGCAACTCGAGATGTAACAATTCTGGGAGATGATGAGGCCCAGGGAGCAGCTATGGGACCAGGCTCCTGGAGAAGTGGAATGACTGACGGGCCTGTGGAAGGAATTTTCGGTTAGGTGTTCACTTTCCAGGTGGATTCTCAAGTTGCCCAGGATGGTGGCAGGACCGCTGATGAACGGGGAGCAGTGACAGGCGGGGAAGCACGTGACTACGGAGAGGAAGAACGCGGTCTGCTGCACAAAACTGAAAGTGAAGTCTCCCCACGTGGAAGTGACTGGTGTGGACGTGCTGTACGCCACCACCACAGGATCCCTCAGCACCCACAGACGCACAGCAAAGACCAACCTGTAATTTTGCAAATGCTTGAACCTGAACCTCCTGCCATGCGTCTGCTGGGAAGCCGAATGTGTAAGCCACTGAGTGGTAGTCACTCACTGATAATTCCTGAGGACAGTGGGCTACAGCTTGTCACCAAAAGCCAAGGGTCTTCTCTTCTTTCTTCCTTGAACAGGAAGTTCTTCAATCACATACAAGTAGGGCCAAGGGGCCACAGTACAGCACTTGAATGTCAGCTTTTCTTCTTATGCTATCTCTTGACTGTATGTCAAGAGAAAGAAAAGGGGGCAGGAGCAAGCACCTGCCCAGAACAGAAAGCTTTCTTCCTTCACACACAGAGGCAGAAGGGGGGTGGGCACTGAAGAAGACAAGCCACCAATCAGTGGAGAGCCACAGACTCTCAGTGAAGAATTTCCAGGGGTTGCCAACTTTCAACACAACACAGGAACTCCCACAAATTACTGATCCTCTCAACTGAGTAGTTCTGTCCACAGGTCACCTGGATTTAAGTCTTAGGTCTTCCTTCCTTAAAATCTAATTTTTTTTTTCTTTTGAGACGGAGTCTCACTCTGTCGCCAGGCTGGAGTGCAGTGGCGCAATCTCTGCCTCGCGGGTTCAACTGATTCTACTGCCTCAGCCTTCCAAGTAGCTGCAATGTCAGACACGTACCACCAAACCCGGCTCATTTTTTTGTATTTTTAGTAGAGACGGGGATTCACCATGTTGGCCAAAATGGTCTCAATCACCTGATAGGATGGTCTTGATCACCTGATCTCATGATCCGCCTGCCTCGGCCTCCCAAAGTGCTGGGATTACAGGCGTGAGCCACTGCGCCTGGCCAAAATCTAAATTTCTAAACATCTGTTTGTGGCTCGTGGTTCTCTCCTCCGGAAAAACACCACTGAATAAACCTGTTTTTCATTTATTGATGTATAAAATACCATCAACCACAAGGTACATCATTATGTATCATGAAGAAAAAAATCTGTCAAGCAACTCTAAGATGTCATGGAATACAAGAAACATTCCCACTTTAAGTTGAGCATCCCAGAACCAATGAGAATTCTTCAACATAACAATTCTTAAAATGTGCAAAGACAGCCTCCCTGGGTCCCCACTTCAGTCTTTTTTCCATACTAATTCTAGAGTCCCAAATCATTCATTTAAAAATAATAATAATTATTATTATTTAAAGAATCTAAAACTTACAGAAAAATTCGAAATATCATATAAAAACTTTTAAAACCTAGAACCATTCAAGAGTAAGTTCCTGGCATGATGCCTCATCACCCCCGAATATGTGGTATTTTCCTACAAACAAAATTTATAAACATAATACAACCCCCAAATAAGGAGCTTAACACTGATGTGTCACTGCCATCCAATCCCGAAGTCCATCCAAGCTTCTGCGACTTTCCCAATAACGTCCTTTACAGCAGCCCAGGTCCGAGTCACATGCTACACTCAGTCGTCACGTCATAGCCATCTCCGTCAGTCTGCAACTGTCTCTCGGTCTTTCTTGGTGTTTGTGACCTTGGCACTTTCGAAGACTACATTCGGCCCAGTTGATCTGTCGAAGGTATTTCCCTGTGGCTAGATTCAGGTCAGGTGCCGCTGGCAGTAACAACACGGAGGTGAGGCTGCGCTCTTTTCAGTGTACACCACCAGGCGGCCGAGAGCTTTTTTTTATTTGCCATTACTAGTAAAGTTCACTTTGATAATTTGGTAAAGGTGATGTCCTCCAGGCATGTGCACTGTGAAGTTCCTCTTTTCCCCTTTGTAATTAGTATGTATTCTGTGGGGAGGTGCTTTGAGGCTAGGTAAATATTCCATCCTCATGAAACCTTCAGTTTACTTTTACTTTTTAAATCAGTACAGATTCATGGTTCCTATTTTATTCAATCAGTTGAAACAGCTACTAACGTTATTCATTTTGATGCTGAAATTCTAAATTATGCTTCATAAGACCCTGTGTACAGAGCTTTCCTAACTTATTCTTTTCTGGACATCAGTTTTCCAGTGTCTTCACTTACGTAAATGTGAACTACAAATACAATGCTTTCAGTATCAAGAGTAGCATGACACTAACATCTCCTTACATCTGATTATGGCCACAGGGATACAGCCTAAGATTCCAATGTAATGTTTGGAAGCCACGGCACACATCAATGTACACGGAGCTCACGTGACTGAAGGTTCCCAGGCATTCTCCTTCTCCATTTGAACTGTTACTTAAGCCACGTCTCCACTTAAGCCACGTCTCCACAAACCTTTGCTATACTAGTTTTAAACAACCCATTTGCAGGTTGACTTAAGGAATACTCCTCTTATCTATGTTTCAAGATTTCACCTCCCTAGTTTTGTGCCTCTTTCAAGTAAGATGCTTACATTTATGCTTTCTTACAAGCTTTTGATAAAAGAATTTTAAATGGGTGGGAAAAGAAACATTAAGTAGAGAGTTCGGCATTCTAACCAAGGGAGATTCAGGTTGGGAGGAAAGTGGGCTACAGAAGCTTTCACGCCAAGCACCAGAACTCTAAAAGACCTTCAAATCTGTTATTTACATTAAAGAATTTATAAATCTGAGAGTTCAGTGAGCTGAATAATTAAGTAAATAGATGTAGGATGGCAAGAGCCAGGTTTTTCATTTAGGAGTGGGAGTTTAGTGATAAGAAAGGAGAGAGAGCTACAATGATCCATGTGGCAATATATTAGAATTGGAGACATAAGTATGAACTCATTGTTAGCTTAATATCAATGCAGATGATTACAGATAGAAATATTTATAGATATGTAGATATGCAGGAGTTAGGATACACGCATGTATTTCCTTGTTCTGTCAGCTGAGAAGGCCCAGAAGCAACAGGCATCTCGGCAGTAACATCACATCTAATGCCCGGATCTTGGTTTTTAATACCACTCTCCAATAAACAGAAACCAGGGTTCCTTGGAGAAATGGCTGATTCTAGGACTGATGTGTCATTACTGATAAAGTTCAATAATGCTCAAGGGGCAGAAAATATATGCAAAAGGAGCCTGGCACATCTTACAGCACCAGAAAGTAAGAAAGTGCTCAAAAACTAAACTAAACCAAAACAAAAAAACAAAAATCCAACACCCACAACAATGGAGGCATGTCAAAGGACACAGGAGCCAACATAAAGAATCCCCAGTGGCCAAAGCTAGGATAATTTGAGTAACAGAGTTGTACTGTACTATAATCCAGAGTGTAAAATAAATACCCATGGGTCCATAATGATATAAATAAATGACTGAATAAATTAATAAATGGAGCAGAGGCAAATCACCCATGCAGAAAAATTCCAAATAATTATGTAGATACTCTACCCTAAGGGAGATGGAGCATAAATCCCCACTTATTAAGTGTGGGCTGTGCACAGTGGTGTCAAAAGTTATCATATGGCAGGGGGAAAAGAGTTAACTTCACAGTGGAGAACCTGACAGACACTACCTCAGCCAGGTGACCAAAGTCAACATCACTGGTGATACTTCACACTGATAGCACATAAACTTGGTATGACAGGATGCATGCTAATGGTACTTTACAAATCCCTGTGGTCTTCCTCCCAAAAACCCATATCCCTAGCCTAATTATAAGAAAACTATCAAACATGTCCCAGTTGAAGGACATTCTACAACATGCTGGGCCAGCAGTCCTCAAAGCTGTCAAGGTCATCAAAAACAAGGAAAGTCTAAAAAAGTATCACAGCCAAGAGAAAACTAATGGATCATGATGACTAAATGTAATGTGGTGTCCTGGGTGGGATCCTAGAACAGAAAAAAAACTAGGTGAAAACTAAGGAAATATGAATAAAGTAATAGACTTTGGTTAATAATTATGTACCAACATTAGTTCCCTGTGGTACAACAAATTAACATGTCACATGGTACCTAACAGGAAACTGGGTGCAGGGTTTGCAGACATTCTTTGTACTATCTTCCCAATTTTTCCATAAATGTAAAACAGTTCTAAAAAGTAAAGTTTTTTTTTAAAGACTCATTATATAAAAGGGAACAACTTCTCATCAGAAAAAAACGTAAGCCAGAAAACAACAAACAACACCTTTGAAGTGCTGAAAGGAAAATTCTGTCAACACAAAAATTTATACCTGTCTTTGAAAAATGATGGCCAAAAAAAGACACTTTCGGATAAATAAATGTTGAGAGAATTCATCATCAGGAGATCTGTGCTGCATGAAATGATTTAAAAAAAGGGAAATGACACCAAACGGAAACTTGGAAATTCAGAAAGAAATAAAGAACAGCAGAACTGTTAGTATGTAGGCAAACATAAAAGCCTACCGTTTTTTCATGAGTTTTGCCATTCCCACTCCCTTCACGAATGAGGGGTCCCTTTTCATTCTTCCTCTAAACGCTCCTCAAACTTAAGCATCTGACAGTGGGTCTCAACAGGGGCAGTAAAGCTCTCCTGGGGGTGTCTGGAAGCCCTGTGGGAGGGGTCTCCATGCTGTCGCAGGCGCAGAGGTGTGCCACCAGCACTTAGCAGGTCCACACCTGGGAGGTGAAACACTCTGTAATACAAAAGACAGACCTGCAGAGCAAAAGGACTGTCCCAAAATACCCCTGCCTTGTCCTCCACTTCCATCCTGAATCGAGAAGCACTGTAAGCATCAATGCGGGGTAGAGATCCTCACCCAGACCTCTAACACCTATAGCCTAAGGCTGCATGATCCTCCTTAGCAGCTGTGCCAGTGAGACCAACTCTTGAGATCCTAACTCCAAGGTCAGGTCCATCATCATATGAACTTCTATCAGTTAAGAACATCCTCCGTCCTGGAACCTAGGAAACTGATTTCTAAAACAGTATTTCAAACCCATGTAGATCCTTTATATGATTTTACCTTCCTCCTCTTCTGCTGCCAGTGAGGAAAGAGAAGCACAGAAAAGACAAAAAAGTAAATCAAGTGACAACTTCAAACAACCCACTTGGGACACGGAGACTGCAAGGAAGGCTAGAGGACAGTCTCATGTATCTGCTGGTGAAGGCACTCTCCAGTTCCACTTCAGATTTAAAGAAAAAAGAAAATTAAGAGCTTATGGAAGTTTTAAAATGGAACCATTGCATTTATTTTATTAAAGGCTATTTTTATTTTTTTAAAGCTACTGCTTAAGTGTTTCAGTTTTAGATTTTGATAATTATGAATTTTTTTTAAAAAAATGTATGAACCAGATGGAAGATACAGTAGAAGCATGTGCAAACTCAGGCAAAAATATAAATGCAATTTAAACCCTTACTTCCTGCCACAGCAGTACACTTCAATTCCAAGCTCCATCTTTTCTGAGGTAGTTAAATCCATATTCAATTAGAAGCTAAAAAACTTTAAACGGTAAAACAATAGTATACTTATATTACTCATTTTCTTGATAGGCATTTAGAATAAAGAAAATAGATTTACGTTAAGTGGCCCAAATTACTGATACGTAAAGGTATTCTACAATGTGTTTGTGATTTCTTTTTACTTGTTTTCATAAAGTATTTTTTGTATTCACAGTGAATTTTCTATATTTTACAAAGTGTGACATTTTTCTATTCAATGCTAGATAATAAATATAGAGCTAAATACGTTTTTAAGAGAATATGATGGAAAAAAGGTGAAGAGCCATTCAACTAATTTTGTTCAACCATCCAAAAAAAAAAAAGAAAAACCCAGTAAGAAGCATCTGATATTGCTGATTGATAAAAAGATTAAAAAGCAACATTATTATTTGGTTACATGTTTATCTAAATTACCTCATCTTCCTTTCAACAATGGAAAGAATGTCCACAAAATTCTTACAGACATACAGATAAAACTACAGCTAATTCTATCAGACAGTGATTTAACACAACTTAAGATGATTAAACAATAACAGTAAAGTCTATATAAATCTTTAAAAACCAGGAAAATAAATCCATAATTTTCAGACAAGTATGCATTATTGTAAACTATCCAAGAACCCATAACGTCCCCTTCATACTACCACAGATCCGCTAACTACATGACAAAGAACTCACTCTGCTAACCAGAGGTAACAAGTGAAACCACACAATGAGTAGCCTTTCCTGTCAATGACGTCATGGACAGGGCACTGGAACAGACGTCCTTCAGTCACCAGGTGAAGGGCATGCTTTAGAATAAACAGGACCAAGCTCTTGGTTGACAAGGCAAGAAAACAAAATACTTACACTTGTATTGGTACATACAGTATATAGGGAATACTTATATTCCAATGTGGAATTTTAAAATTAGGTATAAAACATAGCCTTAAATGAAAAGAAAGCTTAACAACCAAACTAAATAACTTAATAAAATCATTTCAGAGCAAGCCATATTTATTTTGTTCAGGGCATTCTGCTGACCACTGCAGAGAACCGAAAGACATGACACAAACTTTAACTGCATGAAACCCTGGGCTTTTCCTTACTGCCAGTCCAGTATGCAAAGAATGACCACATGAAAGGAAAAGGACAATACTGTCATGGAGGCACAGAGAGGGCTCTGAAGACTGCAGGAGCCTTGGACTGTAAACTCAGTAAGGGCAATGATCCGGGTTTCTCTCCTTTTGACTTTTACCAGTTCTTACTAGTTCACATCAAAATGCACAGCACAGAGAGCTGCCAAACCACTGCTTCTGCCCTATGATGAAGGGAGGGCAAAACTGGCACAGGAGCAGGACGGGGTGAAAGCACGGGTCTCTGGGTCCATCCCTTGAGACTGTCTGGGGTGGGGTGGGGGGAGGATCCTGGAATCAGTGTCTTTCCAATTAGCTTATGTGATTCTGACACCAGGGTTCTTGAATTTCTGTAGACAGCACTGCCCTACAGGGTGAGAAGGGTTATCTGTGGAGGAAGGGAACTGAGTAACACATTGATGAGCCTGGAAAGCAAGGAGTTGCCAGTGTATAATGACCTTCTCTGAGTATAAGCAGAAACAGAAAGGCAGAGAGTTATGGCATACGAAAGTCAGAAGAGGATCATAATTCTGGAGATTTACCGTGAATGCCTGGCTGAAAAGACGAGACTCAGAGAAGCTTCTGATAGTGTGTGTGTTCTCTGTGCTACTTAACCTGCACTTCTCACCCCATTCTTAGGACAGGCTTTCAGCTAGTGCAGCTCGCTGGACTGAAACAGGACCTTTCTATAACCACTGTCCCTCTCATCCTGAGCACCCACTCCATTAAGAACCCTAGCAGCCAGGACGCGTGCCTTCCTGCTCCACTCTTCCTCTCCACACGTCACCTGTGGGGCTTCTGTTGCCACCACTGGTTCCCTCCACACTCCCACCCAATGCTTCCTGCTGGTTTTCCAGGTCCCAATCAGATGGCAGAGAAGAAGCTAGGAACCCTGCTAGCTGCTTGAGACAGCTGCCATCATTCACTGGGGCTCCGGCTGCCCGGCTCTGTGGCTGCTGCCGGTGTGAGACTGCACACCCCAGTGCAGCGCTGGAAAGCACAGCTTAGGCCGCATCAACCTCATCGAGACCACGCCTCCCTTCTTTCAAATCCTCCCGTGTTACTAAGCGACAGTCCCTGCTTTAGGCACACTTCTGCTCTGAATTGAATTTACTATTACCCTATCCACCATGTTGAGCTGTGCTGTTTTTTTCCTGTACTTAAAATTACTTTTGTTTTGCTTTTCCCCACCTCAGATCCTTCACTTACAAGGGGCCTTTGGCCTAGAATACTCTTCTCAACTCCTCAACTCCGACTCGGATGCTGTTTCCTCAAGGCATTCCTCTCTGACCCCTTGGACCTAAGTCACTTCCCACAGTCATGACTTCGTACTCAATGTTCATCTTCTCTGCTTGTTATAACTCCATGGAAAGAGGCACCATGTGTGTCTTGTTTATGCTTGGAGCTCTAACAAGAGTTCAAAAAACAATTAGCATATAGAATCCAACTCCCTCTCTCTACTTGCAGTTACCTGATTTTCTCCATTTCCTTCCGACTCCCTCTCCTCTCACCAGATTTTTGATTCATGTGGTTCGTCTACTGAGAGGATTTTCTCTTTCTGGTCGAATCCTAAGTAATCCTCATTATGCAGGGCCTGGCACAATGAATGCCTCCTACATGAAGTCTTCCAGACCTGGGTCAGAACCCCTTTCGTAATAACACTACAGCTGATCCCGCTACGTAGGTATGCAAAGTTATGCACTGAGTGGTTCCCCAATTACTTCAGGCGTGTGTGTTTCCCTAAGGGAGGAAGTGTTCCCGGCAAACACTCACTCGTACATCCTTCTACAAATCCCTACAGTGTCCATCACAGAATGCCTGGCATATAGCAGGTATAAATCGATACCTGTTGATTAACTATTTTTTTGTACTAGATATATTTTAAACAATTAAGTTATATGGAAAAACACCAGGAGAATGAAGAAAAAGTATACTTAGAAATTTTTTTAAAGTGCCAATCTCAAAATGAAAGAAAAATTGATTTCATAATTTTATAAAAGCTACTGCTTATTCCAGGCATAAGAAAAATTGTACAACTGTTATACATTACAGTTTGTTAGCTCAATAAATTTTGCAATCACCCTCTTTTAGGTAGACGAGGATGCCAGTTTAAGGACTCCGTTACCCGAAATCACAAAGCTGATAATCAACTTGGTCTAAGATTCAAATCCCAATCTTGTGACTGTTTGACATTTATGCCAAATTCTTTTCTCTATTTTAGAGGTACTATATCATCCAACTAAAACATTTTTTTCTTCTATAACTAAAAATGATTGAGAATGTCATAAAAAATTAAAATCTGTGATAAATTATTAAATATGATTTTGGAAGATGAACAACCAGAAGAAACTGAGACAGCTATGGAAACAGTGATCTATAAATTGGATGAAGTATTTCAATAATGTTTTTCTAAGGTGATGAATATGTGACAGGCAGCATCTCCACTGAGAACAGCATGAAACCAAGAATTTATTCTGTCTGAAAAACAGGAGACAATGGGCAACAGCCTAGAAGTTCAAAGGGAAAACAGAAAGTGCTCAAAGAAAAAGGATAAAAGCTCTAACCAAGAACCAAGAATCTTTTCACACACTAAGATGAGTAGTTTGCAGATAATTCACAAATTCCCAAACAAAATGGCATTTTTACTAATCTTAAAAATAAAAGCAATATTATATTGCAGAATTTTTTTAAACAAATGGGTTTACTTCCATTGCTTTTGTGAACAATACAGCCATGTAGTCCAACGTAGCTGGGACTACAGGTGAGTGCTACCACGCCCAGCTCATTTTTGTATTTTTAGTAGAGATGGGGTTTTGTTATGTCTAGAACAGGCTGACCTAGAACTCCTGGACTCAAGCTACACCCTGCTTAGGCCTCCTAAAGTGCTGAGATTACAGGTGTGGGTCACCATGCCTGGCCACTATCCACCTCTTTTTTTTTTTTTTGAGACAAGGTCTTGCTTTGTTGCCTAGGCTAGAGCGCAGTGGCACAATCTCAGCTCACTGAAACCTCTGCCTCCTGGGTTCAAGGATTCTCCTGTCTCAGCCTCCCAAGTAGCTGGGACTATAGGTGTGTACCACCACGCCCGGCTAATTTTTGTATTTTTGGTAGAGATGAGGTTTCATCATGTTGGCCAGGCTGGTCTTGAACTTCTGACCTCAGGTGATCCGCCTACCTCGGCCTCCTGAAGCGTTGGGATTACAGGCGTGATCCACACCCAGCCACTGTCCACTTTTTAATACCATTCTATCCTTATATGCTCTTTTAATTTCTATCTTGAATACTCAAAATACAAATAAAAGTAAAAAAAGATCACCTCATAAATACTTGCTTTGTCTCTCCAAGTAAGAATACTTGAGGACATACAACTGAAACCTGTTTCAGTTTAAGAATCTTGTATTTGTGTTGCTTTTGAACTTTAGTTTGCATTATACTTTTTAAAAACAGCCTTAATGAGGTATAATTTACATCCTACAAGACTCATCTTTGTAAGTGTACAATGAGTAAAATTACAGGGATGTGCAACCATCATCACATCCAGTTTTGGGTCATTTCCATCACCCCCCAGAAAATTCACTCACGCCGTTTTTAAAAATACATGTTCCCTTTTTGGTGTTTTATTTTTGTTTTTTAAAAGATGGGGGTTTTGCTGTGTTGCCCAGGCTTAGACTTGACCTCCTGGGGTCAAGGGTGCTCCTGCCTCAGTCTCCGATGTAGCTGGGATTACTGATGCTTGCCAACATGCCAGCTCCCTCATGCTCACTGCAATTAATCTTCATGCCCAGCTCTACCCTACACAGCCACTAATGTGCTTTCTGTCTCTGTATGTTTGACTTTCTTAGACATTTCATATAAATGGAATCATATAATAGTAGCCTTTTGTGTCTGGCTTCTTTCGTTTAGCATAATGCTTTTGAGGTTTATCCATGTGTCAAGAGTTAATTCCATTTACAGCTGAGAATACCACCAGTGTGAACTGTCCAGATCCACTTACAGGCAAATTTTCTTCCTCCTTGGCCATCCCTGAAATAACAAGACCAACCGTCCT
Organism: Homo sapiens; assembly: GCF_000001405.40. Lineage (NCBI taxonomy): Eukaryota > Metazoa > Chordata > Mammalia > Primates > Hominidae > Homo > Homo sapiens. The sequence goes on from NC_000005.10 coordinate 180,030,970, forward strand.
CTTCCTCCTACCCCCTAAGCCTACTCAATGGGAAGAAGATAAGGATGAAAACCATTATGGTGATGTGACCAACTTCCACTTAATAAACAGTAAATATATTTTCTCTTCCTTATGATTTCCTTAATAACATTTTCTTATATAACAGCATATAACATATATAACAAAGTATGTATTAATCGACTATGTTATCAGTGAGGCTTTTGGTCAACAGCAAGCTATTAGTAATTAAATTTAGGGCTGGGCACGGTGGCTCACGCCTGTACTCCTAGCACTTTGGGAGGCTGAGGTGGGTGGATCACCTGAGGTCAGGGGTTTGAGACCAGCCCGGCCAGTATGGCGAAACCCCAACTCTAGTGAAAATACAAAAATTAGCTGGGCATGGTGGCACGCACCTGTAATCCCAGCTACTCGGGAAGCTGAGGCAGGAGAATTGCTTGAACCCAGGAGGCGGAGGTTGCAGTGAACCAAGATCACACCACTGCACTCCAGCCTGGGTGACAGAGTTGAGACTCCATCTCAAAAAAAAAAGTTAAATTTGGGGGGAGGCAAAAGTTATACGTAGCTTTTTGACTGTGTGGGGGTCAGTGTCCCTCCCTAACCTTCTCACTGTTCAAGGGCCAACTGTAATTGCTAAACTATATTCAATTTTATGGACATATAACTTGTTTGTTTATTCACCAGTTGATGAACAACTGCGTTGTCTCTACTTTTCTGGCCATAATAAACAATGCTGCTATGAGCATTTGTGTGTAAGTCTTTGTGTGGACATTTCATTGTTTTCATTTCTCTTAGATATCTGGGAGTGGGACTGCTGGGTCATATGGTATTTTTATGTTCAATGTTTAAATAAATTGCCAAACTATTTTCCAAACTGGTTGTACCATTTCACATTTCTACTCGCAATACATAAGGATTCTAGTTTATCCACATCCTCAACAAAACTTGGTACTGTATGACTTTTTAATTATGATCATTCTAGAGGATGTGAAATAGTATTGTTTTGGTTGCACTGTTGTTTTGATTGCATTTGTCTAATGATCAATAAAATGTCTAATTATTAAACCTTTTGCCCGTTGTAAAACTAGGTTGTTTATCTTGTTGATTTATAAGAGTTCTTTATATATTCTGGATGCAAGTCCTATATCAGATGTATGATTGAAAAATATTTTGTTTGTAGCTTATCTTTTCATTGTTTTTCAATGGTTTCTTTTCAATGACAAAGGTTTTTAATTTTGATAAAATCTAATTTTTTTTATAAACAGTGTTTTTGGAGTTATAGGCAAGAACTTCTTGTTCAAAATCACAGACTATCTTCTAAAAGTTTACAGTTTTACCTCTTACATTTTGTCTAATATCCAAGTGAAGTCATTTTTATATAGTCTAAATCCCTTCCTCCCTCCCTCCCTTCTTTCCTTCTTCCTTGAAACAATCTTGCTCTGTGGCTCACCTTAGAGTGCAGTGGTGCCATCATGGCTCACTGCAGCCTCAACCTCCTGGGCTCAAGTGATTCTACCACTTTAGCCTCCCAAAGTGCTGTAATTACAGCATGAGCCACGAGGCCCGGCTTCTTTTTTTAAATTTGCATGTGGATAACAATTGTTTCAGCACTGGTTGTTGAAAGACTGTCCTTCCCTCACTGAATGATCGTGGCACTTTTGTTGAAAATCAATTGACCGTAAAGATATTTATTTCTAGATTCTCAATTTGGATCCACTGATCTATATGCCTGTCCTTCTACCAATACCACAATGCCTTGATTACTAAAGTTGTGAAACGGAGTGTGTAAGTCCTCTAATGCTGTGCTTTTTCCAAAATGCTTTGGCTATTCTAGGTACTTTGCATTTCCATATAATTTTAGGATCGGCTTATCAATTTCTACAAAACACATGCTGTGATTTGCATAGGTACATACCACAAGGAATTTATATATCCATTTTAAGATAACTGCCACCCTGACAATACTGAACAATGGAATCAAAGGATATGAAAGGTCTCTCCATTTATCCAGATTTTTTTTTTTTTTGAGACAGGGTCTCGCTCTGTTGCCCGGCGAGAATGCAGCAGCACCATCTGGGCTCACCACAACCTCTGCCTTCTGGGCTCAAATGATCCTCCCACTTCAGCCTCCCGAGTAGCTGGGACCACAGGTGAATACTGCTACACCCGGCTACTTTTTTTATTTTTTATTTTTTTGTAGAGACAGGGTCCCCCTATGTTGCCCAGGCTGGTTTTAAACTCCTGGGCTCAAGTGATCCTCCCTCCTTGGCCTCCCAAAGTGTTGGGATTACAGGTGTGTGCTACCACACTTGGCTGAGATTTTCTTGAATTTCTCTCAGTAATGTTTGTAGGTTCAATGTGCAATTCTTACATTTCTTTTTAACAAGTTTTTGTTGTTAGGCTATTGAGAATGAACTCTTCTTAATTTCATTTTTGGAACGTTCATAGCTAGCATATAGAAATACAATGGCTTTTGGGCAGGCCCAGTGGCTCATGCCTGTAATCGCAACACTTTGGAAGGCTGAGGTGGGCAGGTCACTTGAGGTCAGGAGTTCGAGACCAGCCCGGCCAACATGGTGAAACCATGGTGGTGTGCGCCTATAATCCCAGCTGCTCGGGAGTCTGAGGCAGGAGAATCACTTTCACTTGAACCCAGGAGGCAGAGATTGCAGTGAGCCAAGGTCGTACCACTGCACTCCAGCCTGGGCAACAGAGCGAGACTCTGCCTTTAAAAAAAAAAAAGAGAGAGAGAGAGAAATACAATTGGTTTTTGTATAATGACTTTGTATTCTACATTCTTTCAAGACTTGTTTATTACATCTAGTGGTTTTTAATAAATTCTATCTGATTTTCTACATACACAACCTATGAATAATGAATTTTATTTCTGCCTTTCCCAACTGGATGTCTTTTATTTCTTTCTTCCCTGTGTACAATGGTTAAAACCACAAGAAAAATGTTGAGTAAGTATAATGTTGAATACAACTAATGAGAGTGGACATCCTTGGCTTGTTCCTGATCTTAGGGAGAAAGCAGTTAGTCTTTCACTATCAAATATGATGCTAACTGTGGCTTTTCCACAGATGCCCTTTATCAGGCTGAGGATATTTCCTAATGTGTTAAATGCTTTTTTTTTTTTAAATCATGATGGGTACTGAGATTTTGTCAAATGCTTTTTCTGCACCTACCGAAAATGGTTAGTTGGCTTTTTCATTTATTCTATTGATTTTCAGATGTAAAAAAAAAAACCATATATCCCATTCCTGGGGTAATGAATCTAATCCATTTTATATATTACTAGATTCTATTTGCTAATAATTTTAAAAGAATTTTTGTGCCTACATTCGTAAGGGATATTGGTATATAGTTTCCATGGATCTCTTTGTTTGGCTTTGATATGAAGGTAAAAACCAGCTCCACAGAATAAGTTGAGAAATGTTCTCTATTTTCTGAAAGTTTGTGAAGGATTAGTATTATTTTTTCTTTAAATATTTGATAGACTGCACCAGCGAATTTCATGGGAAGATATTTAATCCCCAATTCAATTTCTTACTTATTATAGCTACTCAGATATGCTATTTTTTCTTGAGTCAATTCTGACAATCTGTATATTTTTAGGAATTTGTTCATCTAAGGTGTCTAATTTGTCAGTATACAGAAAAAAGTAAACATAGCAGGTTTGAACTACTATCCGTCGAAAGGCCTGCTTACAATCTTGGCCCTTGGGTGGCATCTGGGAACATGGGTTTGGGGAGGATTCCCACCATTACCTAATAAGAGTGACTCACTGTGAGTGTGACTATGTGGTGAGTCCTGTGAGTCCTCCTAGTGAGTCACTGAACCTGTGGATGGTCATGGGGACCCCAGACATAGTTACCATAAAGTTCTTCACAATATTCCTTTATAATCCTTTAAGTTTCTGTAGAGTCAGTAGTGATGTCCTTTTTTAGTTGTGATTTTGGTAAACTGTCTTCTTTTTTATTGTTGGTCAGTCTATCTAAAGGTTTGTCAATTTTATTGATAGTTCCAAAGAACCAACTTTTGGGTTTCGTTGACTTTCTCTATGACTTTTCTGTCTCACTTATTTCTCCTCTAATCTTTATTAACTCCTTTGTTCTACTGGTTTGGGGTTTTGTTTGTTCCTCTTTTTTATAGTTTCCAAAGGCAAAAGTATCTTTGTTTACTGACCTAGGTATTTAAAGCTATTAACTTTCATCTAAGTACTGCTTTCCCAGCATCCTACAAATTCGGATGTGTTTTCATTTTCGTTTGGTTCCAAATGTTTTTAAAATTTCCTTTTGAATTTTTTATTGGACCCGTGTGTTATTTAGATGTGTGCTGCTTAATTTCAAAGACTTGGGAATTTCCCAGCTTTTCTTTAGTTGTGGTTGAAGAATACACTTTGTACAATTTCAGTCTTTGAAAATATATTCAGACTTGATTTACAGCCAACCATATGGTCTATCCGAGAGAATGCTCCATGTGTGCCTGAAATGAATGTGTATTCTAGTCAGTATGTAGAGTGTGCTACATATGTTGGCTAGGTCAAGTTGGTTAATAGTGTTGGTCAAGGTTTCTATATGCTTGCTAATTTTCTATCTAGCTATTCTATCAATTACTAAGAGTAGGGTGTTAAAATCTCCAACTATAATGATTGAAATGTCTGTTTCTCCTTCCCATTCTGTCAGTTTTTGCTTTGTGTATCTTAGGTCTCTGATATATGTTGGTGTGTCTGACAGTGTCCCACAGGCATCTGAGGCTCTGTTCATTTTCCTTCAATTGATTCTTCCCTCTACTATTTTGAATCTGCTGTTGAAGGCCTCTAGTGAATTTTCCATTTCCAAAATTGTACTCTCCAATTCCAGCATGTCTGTCTGGCTCGGCTCTTTTATAGAATTTTTATGTTCTTTACTGAGAATCTCTATTTGTTGACTCATTGCTGCCATTCATTATTGTCATACTTTATTTCTTTAATATAGTTTCCTTTAGTCTTTGGACATATTTATATTAATTGCTTTGAAGTTTGTCTCTGCTAAATCCATTATCTGGGAACACTTATAGACAGTTTCTATAGACTTTTGTTTTCCTGAATATGAGTCAAACATCTCTATATTTTGCATGTCTTATAATCTGTTGAAAAGTGAACATTTTAGACAGTATATTGTAGCAACTCTGGATTCTGATATTTTCCCCCTTAAAGTTGGTGGTGTTGCCTTGTCTGCTTGTTCACTTTTGTTTAGTAACAGGCTGGGTTAAACACATGAAATCTATTTTCACTGTGATGTGCAACCATGATGTTTCCACTCAGTTTCTTCTTGTTCTATGTTCTTTTTCCTCCTTCTTTTTAATAAGACTGGTTTCCTAGGAACTGCCCAGTCACTGGCTCTCCTCTGCTAGCCCACCTCTGTGAAGTCACTTCCACAGACAGTGACACTGGACTCTGGTGTCATTCACCACTGCAAACAGAAACTGCCAGTCCTTGCAGCCTGCTCCACACTGGCAGAAACTCCACACAGCATAGCTTGGGGAGTTTGGGAAGCAGCACCCTGCTAAACCACAAATTTCCACTGCTCTTACCTGAAGTCTAGAAGTTTTTCAAAGCATAAATGTGTCTCAGATTATTGTCCCTTCATTAATATCCAGAACACTGAAATGGCTGTTTCGTCAATTTTGTCCAGTTTTATAGTTGCTTTTTTGGAAGAGGATTTGCTGATCTCTTCACTTCGTCTTAACCGGAAGTGCTACCCCTACTTCTCTGTTATTTTTAATCCTACCTTATAAATATTTCACAAAGTTTTTCTCTAATGATTATTTTGAAATACTTCAAATAAGCAAAAATTACAAAGAATATAATGTCTGTCTACCCCCACACTCAGCTTAAGAAATAAAACATTATAGATACATTTACTTCTCTCTGATCCTATTTCCTTTCTTCCCTCTCCAGAGACAACCATTACCCTAAATTTTGTATTTCTTAATCTTATGTATGTTTTTCTTAGTTTATACCTATATACATGCTCTTAAATGACTTAATTAAAAAGTTTTGCATTTTAATTGTATTCAAATGATATCCAACTATAAATATTCTTCTATAACTTACTGTGTTTGGGAGACTTATTCATGTAAATACATGTAGCTTTAATCCACTGACAGTTAACTGCTGCATAAACGTGCCACAATTAATCCAGTCTCCTATGACAGATGCAGGTGTTTTCAATAATCTGCTGTTACAATGCTGTAACACTCTCCTACGTGTCGTCCATGCACATGTGCGAGAGTAACAAGGGTGGAAAGAAGGACAGAGAGAGGCTATCAGTGCTTGTGTGAGTATATGAAATCTGCCCGCTGGCTCTCACACGGTTGGAGGTGAAATGTGAGAGAAGGGCAAACAGCAGTTGTGCTCCACCGTAGGCATCCATGGCCCTCCACAGAGTCTAGATTTAGAGTCACAAGAGGCCTTACAGAAGGCCTCTATCCTCCAACCCGCACTCAGGAGGCAGCTTGGCCTATGTCACAGAGCACGTCAGTGGAAAACCTGGGACTAAAACTAGGTTTCCCTTCTTCACTGCCTTCTTTCTCAAATCAAGATCTGTAGGCCAGCAACATCAGTGTCACCTAGAAACTTGTTAATAATACAGGCTCTTGGGTCATATTCCAGACTTACTGAATCAGAATTTGCATTTTAACAAGATTCTGAGCTACACATTCAAGTTTTAAAGATGGAAAAGTACTCTAGAGTATGTATCTGGAGTGAAATTAATGATCGCAGTGTGCAGATTCTTTTAACTATACCACATAATGCCAAATTTCTCTCCAAAGTATTGTTCCAATTTACCCAATTTACTTTCCCACATTATGTTTTCTAACTGTCTATGAATCTAATCACAACATAAAGCCGTTTCCTATTGCTCTTATGCACACCTCCACTGTTTGCCTTACCTTCCACTTCCTAAATATATCCTCAAACTATACCCCTGCATTTCTTTAATTTGTGCTGTTATACACTCATCTGTGATAAAAAGAGTTACATGGTCAAATAGGTTTGGGAAACACTAGATTACTCAAAATAAAACAGGGTTTTTTGTTTAGTTTTGTGTTTGTCTTTGAGACAGCTTCTAACTCTGTTGTCCAGGACGCAGTGCAGTGGTGTGATCACGGCTCACTGTAGTCTCAACTTCCCCAGGTTCAGGAAATCCTCTCACCCAAGCCGCCCAAGCAGCTGGGACTACAGGAATGCACCATCACACCTGCTAATTTTTGTATTTTTTTGTAGAGATGGGGTCTCCCTATGTTGCCCAGGCTGGTCTCGAACTCCTGGGCTCAAGCAATCCTCCTACCTTGGCTTCCCCAGGCTCAGGGATCCATGATCGTACCACCACACTGCATCCTGTGCAACAGAGTTAGACCCTGTCTCGGGGAGGGGGAAAAAAAAAAAGCCTGTTTTGTTTTTTTTTTTATTTTGATTAACCTAGTATTTCCCAAAGTGCTTGGATTATAGGATTACAGGTGTGAGCCACTGCGACCAGCCAAAACAGGTTCTTTAAGACTTCTCAGAGACCCAAAAATGTTAATAAGTCCTAGGAGCCCCTAAATGTGGACTACATTTCAAGCATTTTCTGAAACTTACTGTTTCCCCATGAGTCCTCTAGGAACATATCTAAACAAACTAACATTTCAAGGAACACAGCTGGGAAATGCTGCATTGATACAGGCTTCCCATCCTTTTTAAATACAAGTAATTTAATTTTTTTTTAAGATTTCAATTCCCTCATAATTCCCAGATCATCTCATACTTTTATTAAAAGACTCTCATTCTAGCTACTTCTCTGTGGTTTTGTGTAAGTAAAACAACATTAATAAGAAAGAAAAATACATTTTGCTCAGTTGAATTTCTCCCTATTCATTTTTCTTCATGTTTTAAGTAAAGAAGAAATCAGCATGGAATGAAGATAAGTTACATTAGGCCCACATCTTTAAATAGTTTTTCTTCCCTCTGAGACAACTGAGGAAAGCAAACCGGCACCTGCTCTGAAACCTAGCAGAAAAACTACCCTCGAGTCCTGTGTTTCCACATAGATGTCCAGCTAAATTAAACTGCCCCTTAATTTTCTTTTGCTTTCCCTGAATAAATTAAAAGTTACACGACCCCAGTGATCTCCGGATAGTGAAAAATCACACATTTTATTTTATTCTTTGTGTTTTTCTTTAGTTTCAGTTTTTGTACAATAAGCATGTGTTACTTTTGCAATTGGAAAAAATACACCTTACTTCTTTTCTTTTCTTTTTTTTTTGAGATGGAGTCTTGCTCTGTCACCTAGGCTGGAGTGCAGTGGTGTGATCTCAGCTCACTGCAACCTCCACCTCCTGGGCTCAAACAATTTTCCTGTCTCAGCCTCAGTAGCTGGGATTACAGGTACCCTCCACCGTGCCCAGCTAATTTTTTTATTTTTAGTAGAGACAGGGGTTTCAGCATGTCGGCCAGGGTGGTTTCAAACTCCTGACCTCAGGTGATCCTCCCACCTTGGCCTCCTAAAGTATATCTTACTTCTAAAAGGCTTAGTTTGAAAGGAAGAAAACAAGTCAGAGGGCACTAAAGTTGAAATCCATCTGCACCATTCTATCAAGATGTGTGGGGAAGTACCAACGACTCTCAATTAAGGTGGGCAAGTCTTTGCAAGAAACTTGCTAAAAATAATTATGTAAAAATTACACGATGAAAAGTTAGTTCTTTAAATAAGCCAAACTCTAAAATTCTCATGAATGCAAAACTAAATTTTATCTGGATTTCAACTTAAGGAGACAGAGTGGTGAAACTAACAGAACATCAACAAAACTAGGGTGTGAGCCCTCTTCTGTTGGCCCTTACCTCTTTCAGTCCCCTTCCTAGTCTGTAAGATGGGAGAGAACATACATCATGCATGGTTATTGTAAAGACTGTCTAAAAAATATATTTAAAAACTCATCGCACAGCGCCTGGCATTTATATAGTAAGTGCTCAATAAACTGCAACTATTGTTATTAAACAATCAGAAATATCCTAAATGCTTCCAGAAGAAATAAAGAAGCATTGTTACTACTGAAATTATATTAATTACTAAGTCAATTTCAACATTTATCCTGATGAAAACAGAATCCTTCCCAGACAGGCAATCCTTGAGAATCCATGACATAACCTGGGCGAATGATTCCAAATCAAATACATTATTTGTCAAAGTTATTAAGCAAAATGTAGAAATGCAAAACAACTAAGGATTTAATCACAGCCAGTTATTTAATAAGTCCAAGCTTTACAGACTGCTATCACCATTACTTACAAAAAAGAAGAAATTCAACTATGGGGAAAAAACATGCATCCCAACAAACAAATGGCAATACTAATAGGATTATGTTGGAAATTACATGGCTTCAGCAGAGGCAGAATGCTTACCTATAAAGCAATGATTTCTAAGAAGAAAAACAAAATCAACAACCCTCATTTTTGTTTACCTGGATGAGTCATGGTAACTGGCTCCTCTTTGGATTTATTATTGTAGATGACTACAGCAACTGCATTGTGGAAAGCGGCCCGTGATATTTTCTCTTTAAACGTGCAGTTTCCCCTCTGCAGCAAGGCAATCCACTGTTTGATATTAGGAGGGACAAAGAACCGGGTTTGTGGATCACAGCCCAGATGATCAGCAACTGAAAAGAAAAAGAAATACACACATTAAAGATAAATAAAACTGACCAAGTCTTTATCAAAGTGTCAACTGCTTTCTGAATACCACACAGAGCTAAAGCACGTGAAGCAGCTCGCTGCCAGCAGAGCTATGAATACATCCACAAACAATACAATGAAGCTGAATCAGTACCTATAGGGAGAGATGCTCCATGGGACGGTTACCTATAATGCAAATTAAAACAATGAAAATTTCTTAACTTTACAGACTGATAAAAAATAAAAAAGGACTGATAATATCCAGTACAGGGTGGTAAAGGGAGGAGGAAGAAAAGGCCAACACAGACGAGAAACCCAGGTGACTGATGTAACCCTGACACCCTGACTCTTACTCATTCCTGTTCATGTACTAGCCTCTCCACACACCGCCACCACCGCTATCCCCACAGTGAGAAAACAGGAGCCTGGACTGGGGGCCAGTGAGGAGGCCAAAATAATCCTCGGTTCAGTTACTAAGTGATCCTGTTGAAATTCAACCATGTTAGAGCAAATTTCTTCATAAATGTCTAAGGAAAATTTAAAAGTTTGGTTTTGGCTTATATTTGAAAGTTGAAGTAGTTAAAATAACATCTAAGTAGAATAAATGTATTATTCCTCTAATTTATGTTAGCAAAAGTCACCCCACAACTCCGTATCAAGATACACTTACTGTATCCATCTGTCTAACAGGTTACAAGAAGACACTAAGAATGTTGGTACTACAAATTACATGGCCACTGTTCTGGATTTTTTGGGATAGTTTATTTAAAATACTCATAAGTACATTTAAATCTGTCAGAGTAAGCGCCTCAATTTTTCACTCTGCACATATGGCCATCATGGTTCTGGCATCCTCTGCAAATCTTAAGAAGAAGCCCCCGGCTGCTCTTCCCACTCCCACTTTCACATTTATAACAGGTTCAAATGAGAGAGAAGGGCAGCCCAGAAGGGGAGAGAAGTCACCAAAGGTAGAGTCTGCAGACTGCTGGCGCACAGTGGCAGAGGGTGCCAGCCCTGTGCCCTGAGTCAGCCCTGCCGGTCCTCTGTGTGCCGGGAAGGAAGTAAGGAAAGGGAACACAGCGCATGGATCTAAAAAGGTGACACCAGAAGTAAATAAATCATAAAAGCAAGGCGAGGTGTGGTGGCTCACGCCTGTTAATCCCAGCACTTTGGGAAGCCGAGGCAGGTAGATTGCTTGAGCCCAGGAGTTTGAGACCACCCTGGGCGACAAAGTGAAACAAAAAATACAAAAAAATTAGCTGGGTGTGGTGGGGCACATCTGAATTCGCAGCTACTGGGGAGGCTGAGGTGGGAAGACTGCTTGAGCCATGATCGCACCACTGAACTCCAGCCTGGGTGATAGAACAAGACCTTGTCTCAAAACAAATCATAAAAACATGAAGTATTAATTGTAGTAGATAAAGAGATGACGCCAGTGGGAAAATGTTGGCTTTCTACACACCTGGAAGCACATGCCTAGCAAAAGAAACTAAATGCTTACACGACTTAAATTGTAAAATGTAAAGATGCCAGTAACTTCAGAGAACTATTACATCTACCATTCCCACTTAAATATCTTTCCCCAAATTTTCTTTCAACTATTGTGGTGAGAGACTGCACCAAGAGTGTATTTGCTACCAGAGGTCTCCTAATACATGAAATGGAAGATGAATGTTTTCACAATTTTTCATGATTGATATTGTATACGACCATTACCTACCCTTTTCCTTAAAAGGTTTCTGCACTCTGAACCTTTAACCCTTCCTCAATCAAATTAAACGGGGATAGAAGCCTATGTCATGATTTTAGGAGTCAACTATTGAAAGACACAGACGATGCACTATAAAACTTTAAAATCCTGAAACAGATTGTTTACTTTCATCACTATCTGTTTCACCGATAATTATGCTGTAAAATAAAAGCAGCTCAGTGACCTGTTACGATAATCTCCTCTTAGAAAAATGTCTAATACTGTATCCAAACGGGGAATAACCAAGGAACTGGTTTTAGGTGTTCTGTTCGTTATTTTTCAAAACATACTGCTGCACAAACCCTGGAAGAAAACGCAAAATCAAGAATATCTAAAGTGATGTGTACCCCTGCCTTCTGTGCAACACATTTAATCATTTGTCTGTGACTTATCTCTTCTTCCCTGTGGTCTCGCATACATGCACAATGTAGTAAAAAGCAAACAACATAGTTATGGAATCAGCAAGACTGTGCTCCAAGGTCTAGATCAACTGCTTACTAGCTGTGTAACTATCACAGGTGACTGAAATTCTCCCATCTTTAATTTGTACTTATTTATAAAGATTTAGATAGTCTTATCTCACAGAATTTTACACGTGAAAAAGCCAAGAGTAATGCTTTCTGGCCAGGCGTGGTGGCACACACCTGTAATCCCAACACTTTGGGAGGCCAAGGTGGGAAGACCACTCAAGGCCAGGAGTTCAAGACTAGCCTGGGCACATAGTAAGACCCTCATCTCTACACAAAATAAAAAACAAAAAAATTAGCTAGGCATGGTGGCACGCACCTGTAGTCCCAGCTACTCAGGAAGCTGAGATGGGAGGATCGCTTGAGCCCAGGAGTTCAAGATTACAGTGAACTATGATCATGTCGCTGCACTCCAGCCTGGGTGACAGAGCAAGACTCTATCTCTAAAAAACAGTAATAATTCCTTCATTCTTCAATGCTTAAAAAACACTCTTTCCCTTTGTTTGTTTCACTGACATTCATCCTATGTTGTCTTGGTGATCCAGTTTGGTCCCCTTGGGAGTTTCTGTGCCAAAATATGTGAGCTACCCCACGCTCAGCAGCACCCCACACTCCTCTGCTCTTAGTAACCACCACTCACAGATCCCAAGCCTCATCTTTTTTACCTCTTTCGACAGTGTCACAGTCCACTCAGAAGACAGCAGTTCAGTAATATTCATAATATTCTAAGAATGAAAAGACACAGCAAGGGGTGCAACCACAGAGCAAAAGTTATCAAACATACTGCAGGAGGACTTTAAAACTCTGCTAAAGGAATCCCGCCCACTGAGAACAGATTCTATGAACAACAGCATGATCAAAACAAATCCAACAACGGCCTGTATAAGCAAAAGAATGTTCCTGTTTCCCAAAATTCATCTAATCATCATCCATAAAAGGTCTCTGAAAACATTCATATTGGTAGTACAATACAAAATAAGCAAGGATAGGAAGCTTCTGTTCAAAAAAGTGGTATTTATTATTCAGAAGAAAATAAGAGGTTTTCATAAACAGGAACTTAATACTGTAGTATACTCATTCTACCTAGTTATTCCCTCCTGTAATTAAGAAAATATAAATAATGAAAACAACGGTTCTATAACAACTTTTCATGACTGATGACTATAATTAAGTAGTATTACTCCAAAATTTAATACCAGTTGTTTACACTTGAGCAATTTATTAAGTGAAGACATATTATGGTGTAAAATATCTATATAATTATGAGCCTTTAAAATTTGTCAATAGCAATTCTGTTAAAATTCAGAATAACGGTACTTCCGTTTTTCTTACCTGCCAACTTTTATAAGAGGATACTATCTCTGAATTATTTGCATTTATTAATTATAGAGCCAGGAAAAACTTACTAGAGGTTCTGATAAAAATTTCAAGATAGATAATACAAAATATTTTACTACAGAACTTAATTTTTTTTTTCCTCTAGGGCTTTTTCCTGCTGAGTCCAAAAGTATTAAAAGTAATGAGACTTATTTACCTCTTGACAGGCACCAAACAATTCTGGGCTCCTCACCTCAATGAATAGTAACTTATGTGCTCAGCTACACGCTAAGTACCAAAGAGAGATACAATGTGGCAAACGCCTTGCTCTTGACTCTTAAAGAGCCTCCACATGGCCGGGCGCGGTGGCTCACGCTTGTAATCCCAGCACTTTGGGAGGCCGAAGTGGACAGATCATGGGGTCATGAGTTCGAGACCAGCCTGACCAACACAGCGAAACCCCATCTCTACTAAAAATACAAAAATTAGCTGGGCATGGTGGTGGGTGCCTGTAATCCCAGCTACTCAGAAGGCTGAGGCAGGAGAATTGCTTGAACCCAGGAGGCGGAGGTTACAGTGAGCCAAGATTGTGCCACTGGACTCCAGCCTGGGCGACGGAAGTAGACTCCGTCTCAAAAAAAAAAAATAAAAGCCTCCACATTCACTGAGGCATCATAATTGGCACCAGCACAGAAGCTGACGTTAGAGGGTGCCAACACGAAGTGCACTTAAGAGACTGAAGGAGGGAGGAGGGCAGGACGATGGTCAAGATTTAGTGTTAGCTGGAGCCCACATGGAACCCCTGAAACTTGCGCAGCCAGGAAGGAGGTGGATACGCAAGTTGCCAGCATAAAAACACAGAGCAAAGACTAAACTCTTCTCTTGAACTCTTGCAAAATTAAGTAAGACGATATGTAACAGAGCCTACAACACTATACAAATTTAAGAAGGTCAAGTTCAGAAAAGATCTCATTTGCAATGAGAGAAGGAGAAGAATATTCAGGTAAGAATAGTATGTAAATATTTAAAGGGCTGTAGGAATGAAATCTCTATTCCACACCCCACTGTGTTCGGAATTCGTGGGTTCTTGGTCTTGCTGACTTCAAGAAGGAAGCCGCGGACCCTCACGGTGTTACAGTTCTTAAAGATGGTATGTCCGGAGTTTCTTCTTACTGGTGGGTTCGTGGTCTCACTGACTTCAAGAGTGAAGCTGCAGACCTTCTCAGTGAGTGTTACAGCTCATAAAGACCGCAGGGACCCAAACAGTGAGCAGCAGCAAGATTTATCTCAAACAGGGAAAGAACAAAGCTCCCACAGCGCGGAAGTGGACCTCTGCACGTTGCCGCTGCTGGCTCGGGCAGCCTGCTTTTATTCCCTTATCTGACCCCACCCACATCCTAATTGGTCAATTTTACAGAGAGCTGATTGGCCCATTTTGACAGGGTGCTGACTGGTGCGTTTACAAACCTTGAGTTAGACACAGAGTGCTGATTGGTGCATTTACAAACCTTGAGTTAGACACAGAGTGCCAATTGGTGCATTTACAATCCTCCAGCTAGGCACAAAAGTTCTCCAAGTCCCCACCAGATTAGCTAGACACAGAGCAGTGACTGGTGCCTTTACAAACCTTGAGCTAGACACAGAGTGCTGATTGGTGCATTTACAATCCTTTAGCTAGACAGAAAAGTTCTCCAAGACCCCACCCAACTCAGGAGCCCAGCTGGCTTCCCCTAGTGGATCCCGTGCGGCATGCCCACACTCCTCAGCCCCTGGGCGGTGGATGGGACCGAGCCCCGTGGAGCAGGGGGCAGCGCTCGCCGGGGAGGCTCCAGTGGCGTGGACGGAGGGGGGTGGGGCTCGGGCATGGCAGGCCCTGCCCCATGGGGAGGCATCTGAGGCCCCACGAGAATCTGTGCGCGGTGGACCGCGGCGCGTGCAGGCCCACAGTGCTGAGGGACCCAGCGCACCCTCCGCAGCTGCTGGCCCAGGTGCTAAGCCCCTCACTGACCGGGGCAGGTGCAGGGCCCGCCAAGCTCACACCCACGCAGAACTCCAGGGCCAGCCTCGGCCAGCCCAGAGAGGGGCTCCCACAGTGCAGTGGTGGGCTGAAGGGCTCCTCAAGCGTGGCCAGAGCAGACACCAAGGCGAGGAGGCACCGAGAGCGAGCAGGGGCTGCTAGCACGTTGTCACCTCTCACCACCAGTCTGAAACTCTCCTCCTCTTTGATTCATTTGATTTAGTAAAACCTCATTTCTTAGAAATGTAAACACGCCACATAAGAAGCACTCACCATGTTGTGTAGGCTAAGGGTTTCCTTCCTACCCCTGAGAATTGTCAGTCTGCTGCAGGGGCAGAAGTGATAGCCTCGGACAGTATTTTTCTGCAGTGATGGTCAAAACAGGCGGCCGCACAGCACAGTGGCAAAGATGTGCCTCTCCCTCTCAGAGCCTGTGTGTGTCACTTCATCCTCCTGAAATGCCAGTCCCACCACTCTTGCTCACCACCTTCTGAGCCTCAGGATTCTGCCAAAATGTCTTCTCCAGAACGCTTTCCCAGCCTCCTAAGACTGAGTTGGGTGCTTTTTTCAAGTTGCCATGGCACCCTTAGGTTACATCCATCTTGGCATTTATCATACTGTATTAGTAACTGGCTGTTTACTTCTGAGGCTTTCCTTCCGGAATGTGAGGTCTAGCATCTCCTGCGAATATGTCTGGCACATAGATGTTTAACATGATTGATGAAGGAAAAGGGGAAAAACAACAGGGAAATTAAGCCAAAACTGGCATTAAAAAAAAGTTTGTGGCAAAGAGTTCTCTGTTTCACGTGGTAATATCCTGACTACGGTAATGTTCTATCAGTTGCTTCCTACAAAAGAGGTAAAAATAAAAATGAGACTAATTAGTTACCCCGGATTTAGATTCCTCCATTGTCAGCTATGGTCTGGTTGCTTTCCTACTCCTGAATTAGATTATAATTTCTTTATTCTTTAAATTTCCTGCTTCTACCCTATCTTTCCTTATTTTCCTTTGTCAAATTCTAATTTTATGATTCAAAGAAAAAATACAATTCATCATTTCTGTTATCAATTTCTTAATTTTATTTTTAATGGCAGCTACTGGACTTAGGTGGAGCTTTCATTCTCTTTATCCACTTCCATGGATATAACTTATTATTTTACTGCTTCTACACTTTCACTTAAACCTAACATTTCTTTTTATTACTTAGCTTCATTGGGTGTTTAGTCTTATTGAAAATGTTTTTTTCTGGCCCGGCGTGGTGGTTCATAGCTGTCATCCCAGCACTTTGGGAGGCCAAGGCAGGCAGATCACCTGAGGTCGGGAGTTCAAGACCAGCCTGACCAACATGGTGAAACCCTGTCTCTATTAAAAATACAAAATTTAGCTTGGCGTGGTGTGTAGGCCTGTAATCCTAGCTACTCGGGAGGCTGAGGCAGAAGAACTGCTTGAACCTGGGAGGCAGAGGTTGCAGTGAGCCGAGATTGCACCACTCCACTCCAGCCTGGGCGACAGAGTGAGACTCTGTCTAAAAAAATAAATAAAATAAATCTCAGGCCACTCTTTGTTCTCCAAACTGGCCTGCCCCAGCCAAGCGCTCTCCTCTCTCCACTCCCACGTCCCACTTCCTCCAGGCTTTCCTCCTGCACTACCACAGTCATTCTTTGGGTCTTTACTGCCTCTTCTTCCTCCAGTCGAACCTTCAATACTGACGCTCCCGAGTACTCTGCCTTCCCTGGCGTGGGCCCAGGACTCTCCAGGGTTCATGTTCACCATGTCAACAGCACACTTTTTTTTTTTTTATTGGAACAACAATGCTTACTAACATCTCATGCTGAGCAGCCCTCTTCTGAGAAATTATTTTTCATTTTTACTTCTATGAACCCAGTTTCTAATAGACACAGCTAAATCAGGTCAACAGCATGCTAAGAATCGGGAGAGGAAAGTGGAAAATTACACACACAGAAGGGAATTCATTCCCTTCCATTCCAAGCAAAACCTCTGCCTTGATGAGTTAATAGGAGTTCTCCAAGATTTCAACTGGTTTACATGGAAGGGGCACGGAAGGGAGTCTGTAGTCCGGTTTACGGCAAATCACTCTGTATCTAATTTGTCTGTTTCCAGGTTGCTCTGCCCTGCTTCTAGGCTAGAGGATGATATTATTATCAAAGGCTACAGGATTAACCTCCGAATCTAGGCAATTTCTGCTTGACTCACATAGGAAGAACCAGTGTTCCATGTAACAAAATCAATGACTTAGATTGATTAAAAATAATGAGGCCAGGTGCGGTGGCTCATGCCTGTAATCCCAGCACTTTGGGAGGCTGAGGTGGGAGAATCCCTTGAGCCCAGGAGTTGAAAGCTACAGTGAACTGGGATGGCGCCACTGCACTCCACCCTGGGAGGCAGAGAGAGATGCTATCTCAAAAACGGGAAGAGGGAATTTATCCTGTCTCAGAACAGGGCTGTATTTTGCGGTGAAGAATTCAGCACCTCAGCAGTGTCACCAGGATCTGGTTCCTTTTCATCTCTTCCCTTTGCCATCTGTAGCTTCAGCTTCATCCTAAGAGTCCCCTCTTTATCATAAGATGACTGCCAGCAGCAAATGAAGTCACACAGCTCCCTGTTCATATTCAGTGGGAGACAGAAAAAGCCAACCCTCCAGGTATGTAATTTAAGCTCTTCACTTCTGTGCAGCTCACCCTAGGTCATTTATCCTTCTGTGCCCCACACCCTCTTCTGGGACTCAAACAGGTGTCACTTAAAGCATGTGGCTGCATGGAAGTGATCACAGATGCCTGAATTACATAAGGTTTCTGTTTTCTGTTTTAAATAAGCAGAGGCTGGTAGGCAATTAACAGCTCACTTCAAACCTCAAGGTAACCTTATACAGTGGCTCTTAATTCATCAGAATCCACACTTGGCAATTCAAACCCACCAAAAAGGACAAAACCCAAAAAGAAAGCTTCTTTGGTTTCCAAGCGCTTTGACACAGGGAGACAGCTAAGGTACCACCCCTCTGCCTCCTTCCCTCACTCGAGGGAAACATGAGCTATTTGGGAGTGGAGAGCCCCACTTGAAGATCAGCAGCTACAGCAAGCATTCTTGACAAGGCTCTGGGGATAGAATTCAGGGCTGAGTGACATTTGGATGAGGGGAAATCATCTTTATTTCTGCTAAAATCTAACTGAAATCTAGCATTTTATTTATTTATAAACACAGATAACAAACCATCTGTAACTCTGTAACCAGCAGCAACCACATTACAGTTATTGCAAATACTGCAAAATACTGATAAGGTGATTAGGCCCACCACTGAATCCTGTCCCTAATGTTAACTGTACAAGTATTACCATGTCACAGACATGTTAAGTATTTTAAATACTTTGATACATTGTTTCAGTATACTTGGGTTTCTTTAATCCTATTTACTCCTGCACTTAACACTATTCTGAGAAGCAGCCCACAGGTTAAATCAGACTGCAAAAGGAGTCTCAACTGCCACGCTTAGTCTATTTGCATATGTATATGATATAGCTGGATTCATCTCTATTATTTTATTGTGTTCTTATTTATTCTACTTTTCTAAGCTTCTTTATACTTTTTTTCCCTCTCCTTTCTGCCTCTGAATATATTGACCGAATTTCATTTCCCCCTTTTCCTCATCTATATATTCAAGTTCTATTTTTTTAGTGCCTACCCTTAAAATGTTAACATGCATACCTGATAAAAGGTCTACAATTAATCAGTACCTCTATTCTCCTCCTGAATACCTCAAGGCTCTTAGTTTCCTAGGGCTGCCAGAACAAAGTACCACAAGCATGGTGGCTTAAACAACAGAAATGTATTCTCCCACAGTTCTGAAGGCCAGAAGTCCAAAATCAAGGTGTAGGCAGGGCCACTCTCCCTATGTCTAGCTCTATCTAGTTATTTCTTTATACAGATATGTAGATACAAAGGGATTTATTATAAGGAATTGGCTCTGGCAATTATGGAGACAGACAAATCCCAAGCTCTGCAGGGTGAGCTGGCAGGCTGGAGACCCAGCAGAGCCGATGGAGTTCCAGGCCAAAGACCAGCAGGCTCCGCGCCCACAAGAGTCAAAGGTCTCAGCCATAAGGCAGTCAGGCAGGAGGAAACCCCTCTGACTCCAGGGAGTGTCACTTTTTTGTTCTATTCATGCCATCAGTGGAATGGATAAGACCCACCCACATTATGGAGAGCAATCTGCTTTATTCGGTCTACCCATTCAAACGTTAACCTCGTCCAAAACCACCCTGACCGAAACACAAGAATTCTCTCAGGATACTGTCTGACCAAGTATGTGGGCACCTGTGGCCCAGTCAAGGTGAAACATAGAATTCACCATCACAGTCCTCCTCACAGCTCACTTTTTTCCTTCTGTGTTCCATTTCCCTCCTCCTTATTCTACATCCTTCAGAAGTTCTTTCAATGAGGATCTGTTAGGTAAACTTGTATTTTACATCTGAAAACATCTTTCTTTTGTTCTCATTCTTGAGTGACAGGTTAATTAAGTAAAAAATTCCAGACTGTTAATTTTCTCTCAGCACTTCGGGGTTGTTCTTGCACTGTCCTTTTTATTTTTATTTTTGGAGACAGGGTTTCACTCTGTCGCCCAGGGTGGAGTGCAGTGGCACAATCAGAGCTCACTGCTCAACTTCCTGGGCTCAAGTAATCCTCCCACCTCAGCATCCTGAGTAGCTGGGACTACAGGCATGCACCACCATGCCTGGCTAATTTTTGTATTTACCCCAACATGAGGTCTCACTATGTTGCCCAGGCTGGTCTCGAACTCCTGAACTCAAACAATCTGCCCACCTCGACCTCCCAAACTGCTGGGATTACAGGCGTAAGCCACCAAACCTGGCCAATTCTAGTACTTTTAAAAAGTAAACTAAATGTGTTTCTTGTTTTTCTCCTAATTGACAATTCTTACAATTACCAATTGTAAATAAAAAGGTGATACATTCTTACAACAAATTATCACCTTTTTGTATAGATATTATATTTATTTATTTATTTATTTATTTATTTGAGACAGAGTCTCGATCTGTCACCCAGGCTGGAATGCAGTGGTGCGATCTCGGCTCACTGCAAGCTCTGCCTCCCGGGTTGACGCCATTCTCCTGCCTC
Organism: Homo sapiens; assembly: GCF_000001405.40. NCBI lineage: Eukaryota > Metazoa > Chordata > Mammalia > Primates > Hominidae > Homo > Homo sapiens. The sequence goes on from NC_000005.10 coordinate 180,051,367, forward strand.
AGCCTCCCGAGTAGCTGGGACTACAGGTGCCCGCCATCACACCTGGCTAATTTTTTGTATTTTTAGTAGAGACGGGGTTTCACCATGGTCTCGATCTCCTGACCTTGTGATCTGCTTGCCTGGGCCTCCCAAAGTGCTGGGATTACAGGCGTGAGCCACCGCGCCCCGGCCTTTGTACAGAATTTTTAAGAAGGTGGCAGCAAAATACCTTCTGGACACCTAAATGCTGGATGCTGCAGTCAACATGGCAGGAATGTCCTAACAGTGGAACTGCAGCAGATGCACTTGTCAGCAGCCGTCCATCATTGTTTGTCTGCTGAACTTAGTTACTGTGTATCTCAAATGGATTTTGATTATTTTTTACATCCTTAGAACGCAAATATATCTGTTGGATGTTCTCCATGACATAATAAAAAGCATCTTAAGAGTAAGTTTAAATGACGGCTAATACAAATCACTTTGCATGAAAAGTCAATTTCAAAAATAATAATTTCTATTATAAATGATGCAACAGATACTTCATGCAAGATGCTACAGATCTAAATAACTGAAAATTAGAGCTTGGTCCTCATACAAAGTTGGTGTCACAGTGCAATATAAGTGTTAATTGTTTATCCACATCACTCTTCGTTCCACAAAGGAATTACAGTACTGAGTACAACTCTTCCCGAGGCTCTCTGTTCTCTTGGCTCCTATCCATCAAGTTTTCCTCCCACCTCTCTAACTATTCTTTCTCACTTTCCACTGCTAGACCCTCGCCAAGGTCTGTCCCAGGCCCTCTTTTCTCAGTGGACAGTATCATCCACTCCCCTGCCTTCGACTACCACCTGTGTACATCACAATCTAAATCTAAATCTCCCTCTTGAGCTTTTCTGTTTAATATTCACCTGCCTGCTTGACATTTCTCCATGAATACTGAGCAGTCCAAACTTATTAGCTTCCTCTCACATGTGACGTCTTTCCAGTGTAGAGTTCTGGCTAACAGCATCATCTACTGAAACACAAAGGACGAAAATTCCTGTTGGAAACCAAGTGGCCATATGGAGACTCAACTTCCCACTGCTGCTGCCACACATAGGGACACAAGGACACCACCCTTGATCCAGAGCAGCGCCTGAAGGCACTACTAACTCTTGGGCAGAAAAGAATGTGGGAGCAAGCTTGTTTTATTTCATCACTTCTTTCTTCTAGTATGAGTATTTCCAGTACTAATGACTCGATGCAATGACAGTAATGACAAAGACTGGGCTATCTGGACCATAATTTAAAATGTAATGACAGGCCAGGAGCCATGCAGCTCACACTAACAGGGAAGAAGCCATCTGTCCAGCAACCAAAGGACTTTAAGCTAAATTGGTGAGGAGGGAGGGAGGAAGAGAATACAAGGGAAATCATAAAATCAGTCCCTACGGAGGATTACAGAAAAAGAAAGACTGAGAGAGATTGCTCACCTGAGAAAATAAGAGGTTTAAAGTGTTCTTAATCTGAGACGTCCATAAACCAATAAATACAAGTAATAAGAAAAAACCTTAAAGTTCACCTTAAATATAGAAAATAATCAGTGACACTTGTTGAGGCAGGTCTCAAGATTGGCCTATAATGATGGAAAGCACACTATTATTCAGAGGGAAAAAAAGGATTTTATGTCAAGATAATGTACGTCCTTCAAGGAATCCCAAGTAAACAGAAGCACTCAAGAACACCTCTGAGAGGCAGAAAGCTAAATTAGACTTCGATGCGGGAGCATGCCGAGGTCAACTGGCCAAATGGAGTAAAGATAAAGGTTTTTAACAGATCTCAAAACTGGCAGACAGGATAGGGCATGGACAGGGATTGCAACCACCTAGAGCTGCAGAAGAGATCTCACCCCTCCGCTTCCATTCACTTTGCCTCCCACAGGACAGTGGCCAGGCATATCCCGGTGAACAGCTGCCCGAACCCAATGCAGGCCCCGAACAGAAGTGACAAGTCACATGGAAGAAAGCAACGTATCATTTCAGAGTTTACAAAATCCTGGGCAAACAAAGCTCAGTAACAAATCATCTTGATGAGAAAGAAAATGACACATTTTATGAAGAAAGCAGCAAGAACACACAAGACAAATTAAGCTTTAAGGAGGACTCAAACAAAACCTGAAAAGGCAAACACAAGATGATGGTACAGGCTTACACAGCTTTTCTTTAAAAAGCCCAGAAAGTTGAAGGTTGCCAGTAATGATAGGAACAAGCAAAGCTACTTCTCACAAAAGTTTTATTATTTTTTTAAGTATATTCAGAGCAAGAAGAGTTGGAAAGAAATAGGTTTACTGCCCAGGGCCAACTAAATGATGGATGGAAACATTTCTCAAGACTTTTTTGCTTTTGCTTTCTCTACCACAGAGAATAACCTGAGAACTGCAACAAGCACGGCTACATGACACTGACAATGAGTGCAGAGACTGTAAAAAAGCAAATACATTCTTTTTTTTTTTTTTTTTAATTTGAGACAGAGTCTCACTCTGTCGCCCAGGCTGGAGTACAGTGGCACGATCTCGGCTCACTGCAACCTCTGCCTCCCAGGTTCAAGCGATTCTCCTGCTTTAGCCTCCCGAGTAGCTGGGACTACTACACCCAGCTAATTTTTATATTTTTAGCAGAGATGGGGTTTCACTATGTTGGCCAGGATGGGCTCCATCTCTTGACCTCGTGATCTGCCCGCCTCGGCCTCCCAAAGTGCTGGATTACAGGTGTGAGCCCCTGCGCCCGGCCAGCAAATACATTCTTAGAATAGGTTTCTCTGTTACCTATTTTTACTTCATTTCAGTAGAACAGCTGTTTATATCTTATGCATTCATGCTGGTTTCTTCAATTAATCACTCATATTGTTTCTTGAGATGATTTGTAACGACCCAGCTTTCTTTGTCCTAGGATTTGCAAACTTAAAAAATGATACAATCGCTTTCTTCCCAATTTCTAGGCACTTTGCATTATATCACCAAATGCAAAGAATTCCTTCCACCCCGTGGCATGTCACCCTCCAGGCCAGGGTCAGATGCAGATGCCCACTTAGCTTTTGAGACAATGCACATTCCTTTCGCATCCTCCCTCTCCCTCTAACTTCTCCGATATCCAGTTGTCCCCGCACCCTTTACTGAAAAGACTATTCTTTCCCTCTATTGAATTGTCTGGGCACCCTTCTCAAAAATCAAGTGACAAAAGGGTTTCTTTCTGGTTCTCAGTTCTACTCCACTGATCTACCATGTCTCTATCAGTACCACACTGTCTTGTAGTAAGTTTTCAAATTGAGAAATGTGAATTCTCTTAATTTTATTATTTGTTTTCAAGATTGTTTTGACTACTGTGAGTCCCTTTTACTTCCATATGAAGTTCTGGTATTTTCACAGGATGGTCTGAATGTGTAGGTCAATTTGGAGGGCACAGGTACCTTAACAAAACAAGTCTTTGGACCTATGAACATGAAAAGTCTGTTTATTTACATCTTTAATTCCTTGCAACAGTGCTTTGCAGTTTTCAGTGCCAATATTACTTTAAATGATATTGTGAAATTTTTATTTTCTAATTGTTTGTTACTGGCATATAGAACTACAACTGACTTAATTTTTGTTTTATTGATCTTTTATCTATGGGTGTTCCTAAATGTATTTGAGTTTTTAAAAAATTACTCTGCTGGTTATTGGTAACAAGAAATAAATTTTGGCCAGGAGTGGTGGCTCACACCTGTAATCCCAGCACTTTGGGTGGCCAAGGCGGGCAGATCTCATGAGGCCAGGAATTTGAGGCCAACATGGTGAAAACCCATCTCTACTAAAAATACAAAAATTAGCCAGGCCCTGAGATCGAGCCACTATACTCCAGCCTGGGCAACAGAGTGAGGTTCTGTCTCAAAAAAAAAAAAAAAAAAAAAAAAAAAAAAAACAAAAAAAAACAGCAAACAAACAAAAAATGCAATTTTTTTTTTCTTTGAGAAGGAGTCACTCTGAGCCACCATGCCCAGCTAGAAGTAAGTTAAGTTTTACTGGCATTTAATTAAGGATTAACACTGGCTGCTTTCCTCAACCTGAATGTCAGATGACTTTGTGTGTGTGTGCGTGTGTGTGTGTGTGTGCGCGCGCGCACGCGTATGTGTCTGTGTGTCTGTCTGTCTCATGTGGTATACCAGTTGTCCTAAATAAAGAGAGGGATTTCTGAAATGCAACAGGGATGGTAGTGACTCTCTCATTCATCCGTTTGTTTTCAGATAATACTGCCAACAGTATAATAGCCATACACTACTCAGTTACAGGATTTACAGACGAAATGATCCACTTTTTACTAAATTGTCCCTCATCAAATGGACAAATGCCTTTTTTTAAAAACCCCAGCAAAAATAAACTGGTAGAGCTGATACTTCTCTCTTTTTAGCTACTATAAAGGGTTAAAAAACAACCATCACCATTACAACTGGTGCGTGGCTCATGGCTGTAATCCTCTCACTTTGGGAGGCTGAGGTGGGTGGATCATCTGAGGTCAGGAGTTCAAGACCACCCTGGCCAACAGGGTGAAACCCTGTCTCTACTAAAAATACAAAAATTAGCCAGGCATGGTGGTGGGCACCTTTAATCCCAGCTACTCGGGAGGCTGAGGCAGGAGAATTGCTTGAACCCGGGAGGCAGAGGTTGCAGTGAGCTGAGATGGTGTCACCGTACTCTGGCCTGGGCGACAGAGCGAAACTGGGTCTTAAAAAAAAACAAAAACAAAAACAAAAAAACAAACAAACCATCACCACCAATCAGATTTGGAAAAGAAAGTCAAAAAACTAGAAAATATCATGAAGACTATCAGAAATATAGATTTATTCCCGCTGTTACTCTTAGCCTAAGTGTTGAGCCTTAAGATAGTATCTGTGGGGAAAAAAAAAAAAACCCTAATAGTGTATGTATGACATTTATGAGTTTAATGCATACCCTGGGGCTACATGTGGATGTGCAACAGAGAAAGTCTGTGTCCTGTTACTATAGAGAATGGGCTAGAAGGGAGCCACAGACCAGAGGAGGCTGCAACAGGTGTGGAGAGAAACAGACCACATTTTAGAGATATTTAGGAGTTTGGATCAATAGGACCCAGTAATTACTTAGATATGGGAGTGGGGGGTCTAAAGAGGGAAATGCCTCAGTTTCTGGCAAAACACACTGGGCAGAGGTGGTGTTACCGACAGACAGCAAACACTAGAGGAGGAAAAGATTAGGAAAGATGAACCATGTTGGACACGTTGGGCTTGAAAGAAGACTCAGAGAAAGAAGACAATTCTTCCTCTCTTAAGAGTGTCTTATGGACACTCAAATGTATTCCCAATAAAATGTGTATATATGTGTACAAAAGACACATACAATGCTCATGACTGGACTGCATTGTTCTTAACCACCAAAAAGCAGGAAACCCACAGGCCCATGGACAGCAGAATGCATAACTACCACATATTCATAAAGCAGATCACCGACAAAACCACTGCTACATGCAGTAACATGAATTCATCTCACTAACATGATGTGAGCAAAAGAAACTAGTCACAAGAAGGCATACCGTGATTCCATGTATATTGTGATATAATAAGAAATACATATTTAGTCTTCATCCCTGGTTTCTGTCATAGAATTCCTAACACGTTAGTAATTTCCTGAGTGACAGGGGTGAGAGGAGCATGTTTTCTTATTCAAAATAAGCCCCTTTCAACCATACCAGCGTCTGTGCTAATAAGGTGACTCTTGGAAGATGGGGTCTGGTTGCCAGAGGAACCAATCATGTAATTAGAGGACTGAAACTTTCAGCCCAACTCCCAGCCCCTCAAACCTCTGGGGAGGGGCAAGGGGCTAAAGGTTGAGCCAATCCAATGGCCAATGACTTAAATCAATCATGTCTGTGTCGGGGTGGGCACAGTGGCTCACGCCTGTAATCCCAGCACTTTGGGAGGCCGAGGCGGGAGGATCACCCGAGGTCAGGAGTTTGAGACCAGCCTGGCCAACATGGTGAAACCCCATCTCTACTAAAAATACAAAAACTATCCGGGCATGGTGGTGCATGCCTGTAATTCCAGCTACTAGGGAGGCTGAGGCAGGAAATTGCCGGAACCTAGGAGGTGGAGGCTGCATTGAGCCAAGACCGTACCACTGCGCTCCAGCCTGGGTGACAGAGCGAAACTCAGTCTCAAAAAAAAAAAATCATGTGTAATGTGTAATGGAGCCTCCCTAAAAACTTTAAACAACAGGGTTCAGGTAGCTTTGGGCTAGGCGTATGCCAAGAGGATTATTACACCCCCGCAATACCGCGACAGAAGCTCCTGGTCATGGGACCCTTCCAGACCTTACCCTATGTACCTCTCCATCCGGCTCTTAATTTGTATCTTACATAACACCCTTTATAATAACAGGGACAGTAAGTAAAGTGTTTTCCTGAGTTCTATGAGCTGTTATATAGCAAATTATCAAACTGAGTAGGGCGTTACGGGAACCTCCTGAATTGTAGCCAAGTCAAGACAGATGTGTGGGTACCCTTTGTCCCACTACCTACAACCGGTGTCTGAAGTAGGGGGCGGTTTTGTGGGACTAGGCCCTTTACCTGTGGGGTCTGCGCTAACTTTACCAGGTAGTTAGTGTCAGAATTGAATTAAACTGTAGGACATCCAATTGATGTTGAAAATCCACACATTTGGTATCAGAGTGCTGCAGGTAAAAAGCTGTCCTTTACACATAAGTTAAGGAACAGGTATAAACTACGGTGTCAAAGCGAGGACAGAAGTTACTGCTGGGGAGCGAGGAGGGAAGGAGCCGTGACTGGAAGGGACCTGAGGTGGTCTGCAAAGCTGGCCACACTCAACTTCTCCACTAGGTTCATGGCTACATCAGTGTGTTCATTCTGTGGGAAGTCATCAGGCTGCAGACTTACGGTTGTGTATTTTTCAGTGTATGTTACAGCTGGTAAAAATGTGTGCTAATTTTTAAAAATCTGGTCACTTTATTCCCCAGGTTAAAATTCTTCAACAGTATTTTAACACATGCTACAACACAGATGAACCTGAGGACATATGCTAAGTGAAATAATCCAGTTACAAATTATGAGGAACTAACCTAGTCGAATTCATAGAGACAGAAAGTAGAGTGGTGTTCGCAGGGGCTGCGGCAGAGGGGGTAATGGAGTCTTGTCATTTAATGGGTATGTTTTTATTTTTTATTTTTGAGATGGAGTCTTGCTGTGTCGCCCAAGCTGGAGTGTAGTAGTGTGATCTCGGCTCACTACAACCTCTGCCTCCCGGGTTCAAGCGAGTCTCCTGCCTCAGCCTCCTGAGTAGCTGAGACTACAGGTGCACACCACCACGCCTGGCTAACGCTAATTTTTGTATTTTTAGTGGAGATGGGGTTTCACCATGTTAGCCAGGCTGGTCTCGAACTCGTGACCTCAAGTGATCTGCCCACCTCAGCCTCCCAAAGTGCTGGGATTACAGGCTGAGCCACTGCACCCAGCTGGTATAATGGGTATAGAGTTTCCATTTTGCAAGACAAAGAGTTCTGTAGATGGGTCGCACAACAGTGGAAATGTACTTACCATGACTTAACAGTTAGATGGTCAATTTATACGTTATTTTACCACAATTAAAAAATCTTAAAACACCAACAAAAATCCCTCCAATAGTTTTCCATTCCTCTTATATAAAGTCCAAAATCCTAACAAGGCCTGGAAAACACTGACTTTTTCAACTCTACTGTGCCCCACTCTCCCCCTTACTCTCTAACTCCTTTCAAATTCCACAAGTACATCACAGTTTTTGCACCTTTTAGTCTTCGTGTATATTTCCTTGGACTGAAACATCCTCCTTTCTGCCCCCTCTCAGTGTAATATCTGCTCATGCTGCCGTCTCAGCTGAAACATCATTTCTTCAGGGACGCCTTGACCACCCTAGACTGAGTCTCTTCTGCCATTTATGCTCTCAGCATCCCGATGCTTTCCCAAGACTATGATTAAATAATCGTGTTATGACCTGTGTAACGGTCTGCTTTCCCCAGATAGGACACAAGAGCTGACTCCTTTTACTTCCCCCCACCAGACAGCAACAGCATGCAGGAACTTCCTGTCCTGTCTGGAACTCAGTAGGTGCTTAATAATTATTTGATGAATGAATACTTGAGGCAGCTGTCCCACAGGAATTTAGGATTTTTCTGATCCAGATGAATTAGTCTGCTGATAACATGCAAATGAGAAGGTGCATCACTGACCTTTAAGGAGTCATAGAAAAGAAATGTTGGAAAACCAACCCGTGTACAGAGCACTGATACGAAACAATGAAGGTGAGCCGTGAAAACAACTGACCCATTAGGGTCCTGCTAAGCCTTAGAAAAATTTCACAAATGATTACTGAAGGAATAATCTGCAGACAGTGTGAAGAGAAAGCTGTAATGGTGGGGTGCCAGCACAGGCCTGCTACGTGAGAGAGGCAGAACGACGGCTCCCTCAAAGACGTCCATCTCCCAATCCCCAGGACCTGTCAGTGAATACATCAGGTTACAGAGCAAGGGGGAACTAGGTTGCAGATGAAACAAGGTTGATCATCGGCTGACTTTACAATAAAGAGATTCTCCTGGACTGTCTGGGTGGGCCCAATGTAATCACAAGTGTCTTTTAAATGTGGGTGACAGACGGAGAAAGTCAAAGTCAGAGACTTGAAGATGGGGGAAGGGGCCATGGGCCAGGGAACACAGGCAGCTTCTACAAGCTGAAAAAGGCAAGGAAATGATTCCCCCTGAGAGCTCCAAAGCCACGCAGTCTTGCCAACACCTTGGTCTCACTGAGGCCAGTAAAACTCATTTCAGAATTCTGACCCCCAGAACTGTAAGAGGAGTAAATTGGTGTTGCTGTGAGCCACCTAGTTTTTGGTGATTTGTTACTGCGGCAATAAGAAACTAACACACCAAGGCTAAGCCATGAAAGATTCACTTCTTTTCCTTCCGTGCAGTGGCTCCTGGCCTAGCCAATCAGGAACAAAGTACATAGAGTATCCTTGTTTTTTCCAGCAAAGCATCTGATTATGTCTTTTATGGTATCATAAGCTGAAGAAACACATGCTAAATGCAAAGTCAATAAAGTGAGTTAGAACTCTGTGAAACGGCCATCCTTGAAGAGTGCTGATTAATGGAATAACGCCCAGCAGCCTAGATTTTTACCAACACACCGCGAGGGCCTGTCCGTTCACTTGCCAGCACTTCCACCCTAACTTAGCGCAGGGATTCTTAACTTGGGGCTTCAAGAGGCAACTGGCCTCCTAACCTTATTAAAAGTTCTGTGTATCTCTACATAAATACGTAGTCTTCTGGAGAAAGGTACACCGCTTTCATCACTTATCAAAGGGGATCTATAAAGCAAAAGGCTAAGAACCACTAACCTAGATGAAGATACAGAAAGCTATGTTCGGCCGGGCGCCTGTAATCCCAGCACTTTGGGAGGCCGAGGTGGGCGGATCACGAGGTCGGGCGATCGAGACCATCCTGGCTAACACGGTGAAACCCCGTCTCTACTAAAAATACAAAAAATTAGCTGGGCGAGGTAGTGGGCGCCTGTAGTCCCAGCTACGCGGGAGGCTGAGGCAGGAGAATGGCGTGAACCCCGGGGGGGCGGAGCCTGCAGTGAGCCAAGATTGTCCCACTGCACTCCAGCCTGGGCGACAGCGAGACTCCGTCTCAAAAAAAAAAAAAAAAAAAAAAAAAGCTATGTTCATGCATTCACTAGTGACACAAGCTGCTAGAAAGAGTAAAGACTGTGGGTGACGCATCAGGATTCAGCAAGTATCCTGAAAGGCTGAATGAAATGGCTGATGGCTTAGGAGCAGCCTCGGTGGAAAACACTGGAAGTTTAATCAACAGTGGGCTCAGGATGGTCTTTTGGAAAAAACCACAACAACTGACGTGACTTCAGGCACATCCAGAAGGATGAAGAAAGTATAGCTCGACTCTCTCCTGTGCTGGCAAAGCTAACCCTGCATGCCTGTGTTCAACGCTGGGATTCTCTTTGTATTAGTTTCCAGTGGCGGCCGCAAGACATCACAAACTTGGTGGCTTAAAACAACATAGTCTCATTGTCTCACAGTTCTGGGGCCCCAAAGTCTGGTGTGAGCAGGGCTGATTCCTACTGGAGGCTCAAGGGAAAAACCACCTCCAGCCCCTCTCCCAGCGTCTGATGGCTGCTAGCCATCCTTTGCACCCGCCGGTTTGTGGCAGAATGATGCCATCTCTGTAACCTCCTTCTTCCTATGGCCGCCTTCTCTGTGTGTCTTCCTGTATCTTTTCCTCTTCTTATAAGGACATTAGTCGTTGGATTTAGGGCCCACAGTAAACTGAAATGATTTTATCCTGATCCTCAACTAATTACATCTGCAGAGATCCTATTTCCAAATAAGGGCACATTCTGAGGTTCTAGGGGGACATGAATTTTTGTGGACACTATTTAACTCATCTCTTAGTCCTTTCGGGCTGCTGTAACAAAATACCTTAGACTGGGTAATTTATAAACAGCACAAATTTGTTTCACATAGTTCTGTAGGCTGGGAAGTCCAAGTTCAAGGCACCAGCAGATGTGGTGTCAGAGCCCGCTGTCTGCTTCATCAATGGAGACTTCTTTGTGTCCTCACATGGCAGAAAAGGGCAAACATGCTTCCCCCTCCCCCAGCCTCTTTTTTTTTTTTTTTTTTAGACGGAGTCTCACTCTGTGACCCAGGCTGGAGTGCAGTGGCACGACCTTGGCTCACTGCAACCTCTGCCTCCCAGGTTCAAGCAATTCTCCTGCCTCAGCCTCCTGAGTAGCTGGGACTACAGGCACGCACAGCCACGCCTAGATAATTTTTGTTATTTATTTTTTTAGTAGAGATGGGGTTTCACCATGTTGGTCAGGATGGTCTCGATCTCCTGACCTCGTGATCCACCTGCCTCTGCCTCCCAAAGTGCTGGGATTACAGGTGTGAGCCACTGAGCCCGGTCCCCCCAGCCTCTTTTATAAGGGCACTAATCCCATTCATGAGAGCTCTGCCCTCATGACCTAATCACCACCAAAGGCCCCACCTCTTAACACTATCACATTGGAAATGGAGCTTCAACATATGAATTTGGGTGGGACACCAACATTGAGACTACAGCACCTACTACACCCTTTAAGTGGAATATTAATAGACAAATGCATTCTGAGGTTTAAGATACCATATTCCCAAGAATGGTCAAAATAAATAGGGATATGAAGCCTAAAGGTTAGAGGACTTGAATCAGACAAGGAAAGTGTCTATAAATACCTGAACCATTTTTTTCCAGATGAAAAAGACTTTCTAACATTGGGTTTGCCAGAGATGAATGTGGTAGACTTCTGTCACATTTGTTCAATCTTAACCTGTACAAGTATCTGACTGGAATGCTGAAGCCTCAGATGGGGGACTTGACTTGTTGACTACTAATGGCCATTACATTCTAAGATTCTCAATCTGTCCCGTTAACTGGCCATTTTACAGAACCCAAGAATTTTTGTAAAGTTCCACTAATATAGCAAACACTGTGGGATGCCAACCAGAGGGCACACACTGTAAAGAAGACATAGAAGCCCTGGGAACTGAAAGAATATCAGAATGGTTTCAGAAGGTGAGTAAGGGTGAAATGACCTGGGGGTGGGGAGGAGGAAGGGGCTGGAGCTAGACCAGGTAGTGAACACCTCATACTGCACAGAGACTTCTGATGTCCGTTCTAAGGATGATGACGAGCCACTGCAGGGGTTTAAGCAAGCAGTAACATGACTGGGTGAACCTTTAAGATTATTTTGGCTACTATAGAAGAAAAGATTGAAAGAAGTTAAGAAAAAAGGCAGAGAGACCAAGAAAAAGAGAGTAGGAAATGATAGTTGCCTGAACTAAGGCGGCAGCCGTGAAAATGTCAAACAACAGATACGTACGATCCATTCTAGAGGTAAATCATGAAGGATGGATTAGATGTGGAATGTGAGCCAAAGAAGCAAGGATGGTCCTAATTTGTGTAAATAACAAGGGTGGATGGCGATGTCATTTATTGAGATGGGAAAGACTGGAGAGCAGTGGTAGCAGATAGGGAGGTGAAAAAATGAATCAAAGCTCCATCTGGAGCTTATCAATTTGGAGATGTCTTTGTGACACTGAAGTAAAGATACCAATAGGAAGCCAAGCGCATGAACCTAGAGAGGCCTAGGCTAAAAATCAAGATACGGGAGGAGGTAACAGGAGGTACGTGGAGAGAAAACAATTCCTGTCTCAGTGTTGTCTTATTTCATTACAAGAAAATATTTTTGGATTACTGGACACTGTTAAGTGCCCATTTGGTTTTTCTTAACATGTCTGATCTCAAACCTAAGACTTTTCCCAGCAACACTCAGCTGTTGAGCTGTAGGAAGCATGAGAAAGACCAACGGTACATGGTTCATCCACAATGGAAATTTTGTGTTTACAAAAGACTTCTGTAAATACAAAATTATTTTTGGAAGACAGAGGAAAAAGAGGTGATTTCATGGAATTACATCAAAAAAGAAGAGAAGTGAGAAGCCAGGAGGGGGCTGAAAGATAACTCATTCTACCCAATGGGGACAAAGGACACAATCACACTGTGCCCAATTCCATTACCGCTGAGAGCCTGCCACAGTGGACTGGGGAAGGAGGGAAGTGCCAGAGAAAATGGAAACACTATGAGCTAGGCAACGTAGGACCTATTATAATAAATTATTTTATGTCCATGGATTTAAGCCTATTTATGGAATAAAATCAATTTAACAGTAGCTTTCCCTGATTTCAGAGTCTCCTGAAATACTGTTTAGTTTGTGCACAATCTCAAATTCCACAGCATGTCACTGGAGTTGGAGAAGATGCTGGGAAAATAATGAGCTTCTCAAATGAGAAAAAATAAAAATAGGGAGCAGATTCATTTGCAGCAAGCAAAGGGAAAAGAGTGGGAATCTTAACTGCATGCATCTATGAAAAAAGCAAATTCATTCAATGGCTTGCAATGACACACACCTGCCCCAGTCACCCTACCTGCCCATAGTCCCCAGAGGCAACCACTTCCAACAGTTTTTAGTTCTTCTGGTGGTCTATTCCACCGTTCCAAACAGGTCTCTAGCCATCATTTCTTGGTTTGCCAACTTTGGAAATTGTGTGCAGATATATGATGTCACTAATTAGGATTGTGTGTTCACTTACTCTTCATCTCCCCTTCTTCCCAATTTTATTGTTATGTTCATTTTCCTCTGTTTTTAAACCTTTCTAGCTTCGCAACTAGAAACTATCTCTTGAATCCCCATCCTGTGAGATGAATACACTGACTCCCTCGCCCTCCCTAACTTTTCTCTCTTCCATTTCTCCACCTTTGTCATCTGTGTTTGTAGAGTCTCAAGCTTTCTGCTCTGTAACTAGAATTAAGTCTTCCATGCTTTAACTACAGATTAGTTCTAAGCAGTGAAAACCACAAAACCAGTAAGAGCATTAATATCATCAGCATATAAATATTACACTAAAAGCCAAGTCCTGAACTAGGATTCCACTTACTTCTCTCTAGGATTCACAAACTGCTCAAAATTATGACATATTTTAGCTTGCTTCATATTTGGACCAAGTTGTCTTGGTCCTAGAGTGCCTCTTTTCTTACTAGAGAAAAAACACGCCTTTTTCAACATTTTCCTAGTATCCTCCAGTTCCTTAATAATCCTAACCAATGCTTGGAATTCATTTTGTTCTTGGAGCTACAGAATGAATTTAAAAAAAAAAAAAATCTTGCAAAGACCTACTCGTTCCTGGTTGTCCCCTTCAGAAGGTACAACTTTTCCCCCTGTCCTTTCATGGAAAATTTTCCCCTTTCATAGTAAAAATTAACAATAATTTTTAAGAGAAATGTCACCCATTATCTAATCGATATAACACAACCATTTTTATGTCTGCATCCTATCTGGAGTCCTCACCCACTGTAAATAAATTTAACACAATCGTAGTTCACAATGTTCCCGTTTTATGGCTGTGTAACACTCCACTGAGTGGATATATCATAATTTATTAAACCCACTTGGGAAGCTGTACAAAGAAGTGGTTAAAGTACAGGCACTAGGCCGGTCACGGTGGCTCACACTTGTAATCCCAGCACTTTGGGAGGCCGAGACAGGCGGATCATGAGGTCAGGAGATCGAGACCATCCTGGCTAACATGGTGAAACCCCGTCTCTACTAAAACTACAAAAAATTAGCTGGGTGTGGTGGTGGGCACCTGTAATCCCAGCTACTCAGGAGGCTGAAGCAGGAGAATTGCTTGAACCCAGGAGACAGAGGTTGCAGTGTGCCAAGATCATGCCACTGCATTCTAGCCTGGGCGACAGAGTGAGACTCTGTCTCAAAAAAAAAAAAACAACTATGTAAAGAAAGAGTTCACAAACACAGAAAAAAATGTTTCCTTCCTTTATAGTTTCTCTCTTTTTTTAATTAAACTTTCATTACCTTGCTTAAGCAGGTATCTTATTCACAACTGCCTCGGAATAACTTTCAATTATTGTCCAAATTCAAATCTATCAAGAAAAGATAAAAATTTTACATATTGCAGACTTTATAAAATTATTCAATCAAAAAGGTAATATCACAAACATTAAACAGTGTCATCCTAATAATGTTTAATGTTTTCACTGCTGCATAATATGTGCATATATGTGTACACATACACACGCCCTCTGATATGGTTTGGCTCTGTGTCCCCACCCAAATCTCATTTTGAATTGTACTCCCATAATTTCCACATGCTGTGGGAGGGACCCAGTGGGAGATAACTGGAATCATGGAGGCGGTTTCCCCCATACTATTCTCGTGATAGTGAATAAGTCTCACCAGATCTGATGGTTTTTATCAGGGGTTTCCACTTTTGCATCTTCCTAATTTTCTCTTGCTGCCGCCATGTAAGAAGTACCTTCTGCCACCCACCATGATTCTGAGGCCTCCTCAGCCATGTGAAACTGTATATCCAATTAAGCCTCTTTTTCTTCCCAGTCTCAGGTATGTCTTTATCAGCAGCATGAAAACAGACTAATATACCTTCCCAATATGACTAATATACTCCCCAACATGAGGGACAAGAACAACACTGTCCCTCATGGGTATAGTCTAGCAAGTTTGTTTAAAAAGATTTGTCTTAGCCTGGGCAATACAGCGAGACCCTGTCTCTATAAAAAATCTATAAAATTAGCCAGGTATCGGGCAGATCACCTGAGGTTGGGAGTTCGAGACGAGCCTGATGAACATGGAGAAACCCCATCTCTACTAAAAATACAAAAAATTAGCCGTGCTTGGTGGCACATGCCTGTAATCCCAGCTACTAGGGAGGCTGAGGCAGGAAGGCGGAACCCGGGAGGTGGAGGTTGCGGTGAGCCGAGATCGCGCCATTGCACTCCGCCTGGGCAACAAGAGCGAAACTCTGTCTCTAAAAAATAAAATACAATAAAAATAAAAATAAAAATAAAAAAATTAGCCAGGTATAATGGCATGCACCTGCAGTCTCAGCTACTGGGGAGACTGAGGCAGGAGGATCAATCACTCAACTCCCCGAGGTCAAGGCTACAGTGAGCTATGACCACACCACTGCATTCCAGCCCGGGCAACAGAGCAAGACCCTGTCCTTAAAATAAAATAAAAGACATGTCTTACCAATTTACAGTCACACCTTATTCAAGGCGGGAGGGATCTCAGAAGTTATCTAGTCTTGAGGCCCAAATGCAGCGCAAGATTAGACAGGGCAAGGTGGGGTGAGGTCAGTGAGAGCTCACAAGCTTTGTCATCTGACAGGTAGCTAAGCCTTAGCTCCCTTCTGCTCCCCTCCATGAAGGTGATTTTTTTTTAACCCAAATCTATGTCTTCATTCCTATTAATTTTTTTAAAGCTATATAGCCCATCATTGTACACATTAAGATCTTTGCAATTCTGACCCTGCTATCAAATATATGTTACATATGCCACGTCTTCATCAAAATCACTGGCACGGCAATAGAAGACCTTCACAAAGAGAAGAGCAGCAGGAGGAAAAATCAGAGGCAGTAAATGTAGATAACGTTTAGAGGTTCGCTGTAAGAGAGAAATGGGGTGGTAGCAGGACAGGGATTTGGTGGAGAGATCAAGTGGTTTTTAAAAAAATTCAAATATTTATAGGCTAATGGAAATCATCATTCAAATGTGAAGGAAAAACACGGTATGTAAAAACATGTCATAAGCTGTAAAGTTCAACATAAATATAATTTATTATATACATCCCCTTTTCTCTTGCCAGCCTATTTATGTTAAAATTTGATTTTTAGAGCCTCCAGCTCTTTCTGAATGTTCAGAGACCCTGCTCCCATGATCATATATCCTTTTTCTCTGAATATTTTGAAATCTGTGTCCAATAGCCCCTGCCTTTGCTGTTATGAATTCAAACATTACATGACCCCTTTCACCCAAATCCTGTTTTCGCATCAATCTCCTCCACTGTTCATGAGAATTTCTAAAAACCGATTTCAGATTCATTAAAGGAACCATTAAAGGCTTCGTCTAATAGGATTACATTTTTAAACATGAAAACCTAAGATTCACTTTTTTGAGTTTTATTGTATCCCTAAGCAAGTTAGCAAAACAAGATTTATTATTTGGTAAAATTATTCTCTAAGGCTGTAACATCCAATCCTGAAAATTTCTATGCAAAGCAAGAAGTGGCCGATACTAAACTCTTCCCCACCAGCACATCTGCATACATAATCACATCATCAACACAGGGCTTTCTCCTCTCCCAACCCCCACTCTGGGGCCAAACAAAAAGTTAGTGTGCACACACATAAAGCACATTTACAATGTCTGCTCCACAGCAGACCCTAGCTAGGCTGCTCCGCAAAGGTACTAAATATTTTGCTCCTAGTTCTAAGCTCACCATTTGAGTAAGTAATAAGAAAGCAACCGTGATCTGTGCATAAATACAAGACATGTTCCTTCAAAACTCCGTTTCTAAACACGAATTCTTTACCAGTTAAAATATAAAATGTGTTAGCCCCAGGCAAATGATTCTACACCCACCAATGCATTCGACTTAATGACAAAGACATATTTTTAAAGTACACTTGTTTATAAGATATCTCATAAAGTATACTACGTAAAGTATAGCACTTGCCAAAATATACTTTTAAAATACCAAAGTGCCTAAGAAAAAAATTGACTATTTGCTCTTTAAAGGGATAGGACAAATAAATGTTATTCAGAAATTCACACGTGCCAAACTGATAGTAGCACTGCAAAGCGAACAGGAAGGTTTCTAGTTTCATAAATCAATCCACAGCTTCAAAATGAGCCATCAGGTTCAACTCTAGGAAAACTATAAAGTTCTTTTGTCTTTATGTTCATTTCTATCAAACACCCTCAAAACAAATTTTCATGAATTTCACGTATTGGCCACAGCTGTTTTTCCACCAGGACCTGTCTGATAACTTTGTGTGTAATCTGAGCATTACTTTGCTTAGTGTCAACGTGCAGTAAGTCCTCAATAAACATGTCAAGAATTCTCCTCAATTCAAAATTATAAGAGCATCAAGGTCATAAAGATGCACTATTTTTTCTAAAACTAAAAAATTGTTAAACTCATTAAATCAAGATTATAATGTAAAATACCCAAGTATTCCAATTTTAAATCATTTTCTTAACACGAATAATTTTAACAGATTTATATCACCATTTCTGTTTCTAAAATAAATTCCTAAGTTCCTACTGCAACAGCAGAAGATTTAGATTTCATATAAACCCATAGGTTTAGAAACTACTGACAGGTAGGCTAACTTACAAAGATCCCAGCAGAAGCTATGCTTCATAGAGACGGATTTTTTTAAATCTGTTTTGTTCACTGCTGTTGCCTCTCCTTCACCAATGCCTTGACTGAGACTGGGCACACAGGATTTCAATTAATATTTGCTGGACTGAAAAACTGCGTATGTGTGAAGACCCTTGGTACAAAGCCAGACTTAAACCACCTGTAGGATCCCCCACCCTCACCCCCACCCCGAGAAAACCTGGAGCAAGCCCCTGTGGGACGGACACAGAATGACCCCTAGGGAATCAAGGAAAGGGAGGCTAAAACTCAAGGGGACTGACTTCACACCCAGTCTTCACACACTGCCCAAATGTGTTCATTTTGTTGCAGTGTCTGAAATCTCACCAACTGAGAGATTCCTCTAGGTTAACAAATCTCCTCTTTTCAGAATTAAGGAACCGTTTAAACCTGTCAACAACCTTAAGAGATGTACATTTCATCATTCCATTTTACAGATGAGCAAACAGGCTAAATGGCAGAGTTACTTTTACAGTGTCACACAATGGACGTAAAGCACAGGCCTGACTCAGAACCTTTAATCCTACAATGCTGCCTCCCCACTGAGAGGGGAACAGGACTAATCTTCATCCATACCTCAATACACATGAGTTAGTTTCCAATACCCTTCTACAGAAACACCTAAAACAAGCTTTCTCAAAGACGGGGCTTTTGTTTGGGGTGACAGGCAAGCAACAAGTAGCTGAAGCACACGAACACCGTGGAGGAAGGATCTGAAGTTCAGACCATGGATTTGGGGTGCCTGATGGAACCAAGCCTCAAAGACAAACCACAGATTTCACAACACTGCAGAGGACCAGCTCTTGCTCCACAACAGCTTGCCTCCCCTTCCTCTTTCTACCCTTCCACGTGACCCTCACGGTTCTCTCCACCAGAAAAGAGGCTACCATTGTTAGTTGCCAGTCTGGCAACACTGTGCATCTCAACCACAGTGACTGGCACAGAGCAGGAACGCAAATATTTACTGAATGAACCCAAGACAAAAGTTGTTTCTACGGCCAAGCTGGGACCCTAACTGCCATTTTTAACACAGTAGAGATGAGATATGCACCTTAAGCACCTGATTACTGGTGTAAAACGGACTTTTCAAAGCCTAGTCTGAGTTGCGGACAGGCTACAGTAAAAGCCTTATGTGATTATTTTTCCCCAGCCAGACTGTCTCAAAGAAGAAAACAGCTTAGCACTTTGGCATACAAATACAGACCTCAGAGGGGCATAATATGTTAGTATCTTAAGAGTGTACAAGCAAATCATGACTTTATTTAGGTTGCCTACTTTAGGTCATCCTAACATGAACAGCAGTTTAGAAAAGAAAAATCCCCTCTCAGCATTCTCAGGGTGACAATGAGGGTGGGGATAATGGCAGATATCTCCCAAAAGTTCAGCGTGGGCCAAAACCCAAAAAATCATATTCCACGATGTGCAAAAGGTTTCTTTCAAACCATGACTAATAATTTAAACAAATACATGTTTACACCAAATAATCAACTAAACAAAGTCCTTGTTCATAGGAAAACATGACATTAAGCCGAATGGTTTCAAAGACAATTCTTGAAAATTTTACCTATTTCCCTTTTGGTCGGCACCCGTGACCTGAAAAGCCTTGGCTAGTAGTTCCGATTAGTGTCAGATCCTCATAATGTGACATTTTCAGGCGTCAAATTACAGTAAAACTACTAGGGCAAGAACAAGAGCCAAAAGCAACAGGGAAGATGTCCATTTTCCATTTACACCCCCCCCCCAATTTACCACTTAAGAAAAACGGCACGTTTTTATATTAGAAAAGGGCCGCATCCTTCCAGATCTAGCGCAGCCTTAAGTCCGTGATTTGAGGAACCTGCCGCTTCCAAAATACAGGCTGAGACGTCCTCCCCATGAAGTAGTTTTGCGCTCTTGCACCACCTCCTTTGTCTACGCTGTCCCTGCAAACTCCTAGCTCAATGCCCTCCAGCAAACGAGCTGCCTGAACGCAAAGATGACCGTTCCAAGTCTTTTTTAAAAGAAGGGAAAAACCCAGTCACGCTCCTGGAGCCTGGTTCCCACGGGAGCAGGCCGGGCTGTCCACGACGGAAGCCTCGACCCTGGCTGGGGCTGTCGGCCGGGCAGCGCGGGAGAGCCAGGGCCAGAGCCGGGGCCGGGAACCCTAGTCCCGCCGCCTACGCGGGATGCAGCGACCACCGCCCGCCGCCCCCGGGCCGGCACTCACCTCCGTGGAGGGGCAGCGGCGCCAGCACCTGGCCGCGGACCTCGGCCTTGGGGGAGTCAAGCCCGTAGCGCCCGCGGTCGATGCGAAACGTGAGCGGGGCGCCGCGGCCGGGCTCCTGCACCGTCACGTTGATGAGCGCCGTGTAGTACTCCTGGCTCGCGTTGTCTGCCCGTGCCGGCCACAGGCTGCAGGTCAGCAGGGCGAGCGCGGCGAGCCGGGCAGGGCCCGCCCGCCCCGCGCAGCTCATCGTCCCTCCGGCAGCCGCCGCTGCTCGCGGACCGGGCTCCGGGGCCGGCGCCTAGAGGCGGGGCGGGCGCGGCCCGGGCGGCGGCGGGAGCGCGCGCGCGCGGCCTGCGCGGGGCCGAGCCCGAGCGCGGCCCTCCTGGACGCCGCGGCCCCGCCGCTCGCCGCCCTCACGTCCACTGCCCGCCTGTGGGGACGCGCCCATGGGCCCTCGGCGAGGGCGGCGTCTCAGGTCGCACGCGGGCGTCTCTTCGGGGTCCCAGGAGGGTTGTAGAAGCGTGCCCCCTCCATCCCCCCGGGTCGGTCCCACCGAATGGGAGGCGCCTCGCAAGGACGCGGCGGGGGAGGGGAAGGGCGGCACGGGAGGAAGCGCCCCGAGGAGGGTCAGCGGAACACAAAGTCCCTCTCGCGCGGCTGCCGCCTGAGGCGCGTGTCCGCCGCCGCCCCGCCCCCCCGCTGGTCTAGCGGCAACGCGCAGGCCTAAGGCGCAGTCCCGCCCCGAGCGCATGCGTGCCAGGGCCTGTCCGCTCCCGCCCGCCTGCACGAGGGCCCGGGCAGCCGGGTCAGCCGCTGGTGCTGGTTGTTTCTCTGTCAGGCGTGATAGCCGCAGGGCGTGGAGCCCGGGAGATTTGCGAGGACGTATGGAAATGTGTGAGAACAGACTACAAAGGAAAAAAAGCCATAACTTTAAAAGAAATGTTTAAAATTAAATGTCATGAGATTTAACATTCACGTCATGCGGTTGACATCATGGATGGGGGATGTCTCTGGCCCGGACCTGCAGGGACACGAGTGGTTGGGAAAGACCTCTAGGGTAGCCGTCCCTAACCATTTTGGCACTGGGGGACGGGTTTCCAGGAAGAGAGTTTTTCCAGGGACTGAGGGAGTTGAAGTGGTTTCCGGATGAGGCTGCTCCACCTCAGATCATCAGGCGTTAGATTCTCGTAAGAAGTGGGCAACCTAGGTCCCAAGCATGCGCAGTTCACAGCCGGGTTCACGTTGCTATGAGAGTCTAATGCCGCCCTGATCTGACAGGAGGCGGAGCTCAGGCGGTGATGCTCACTCACCTCCTGCTCGCTTACTGGTTCCTCGAAGGCCCTGGGCCGGTACAGGTCCGCGGCCGGGCGGTTGGGGAGCCCCTGCTCTAGTGACTAGGTGAACTACTCCAGGGGCCCCCGGACCAGAGGGTTGCAGTGGGAACCCCCCCTCCACCTTCCGAAACGCGCGCGCGCGCACACACACACGACTCTCATTTTCTCTCTCCATGGCGTTTAAAAGATACACATCGCTATAAAGTATCAGCTAAAAGGAAGAATGGGGCAGTGCAGCCGAATTCAGGAACTTACAGGATCTTTGTGGGGAGGCGGAGGGGGAAAGTTTGGCGTCTTCTGACCAGCCAGGGTTGAGTCTCCTGTCTCCTACTGCGGGAAGTGGGTGGAGTCAGCTTTGCACAACCAAATGTTCTGAAAATCCGGAAAAGAGGTGGCTCCCCAAAAAGAAATTTGAGGCACTGTTTCCAGGAAAGGGTACGGATGCAGTGCAGGCTAAAACTTAAGATGCCCACCACTGGCCAGGCGCGGTGGCTCACGCCCGTAATCGCAGCACTTTGGGAGGCCTAGGTGGGCGGATCACGAGGTCAGGAGTTCGAGACCAGCTTGGCCAACATGGTGAAACCCCGTCTCTACTAAAAATAAAAAAATTAGTCGTGGTGATGCGTGCCTGTAGTCCCAGCTACTCGGGAGGCTGAGGCAGGAGAATCGTTGGAACCCGGGAAGCGGAGGTTGCAGTGAGCAGAGATCGAGCCACTGCACTCCAGCCTGGGCGACAGAGCAAGACTCCGTCTCAGAAAAAGAAAAAAGAAAGAAAACAGATGTCCACTATTGATGACTTGGCAGACATCCTTTACAATTTCTCCCTCCATTTCCCTCTCTTCCATCCTCTACCATAGTCCTTATAAACCGTGCCCTGGCCTATGGAGAACGGCTTTTACTTATTTACTTATCCTCGGCAAGTACAGACCCTAGGCCAAAGCAGCGGGGTCCTCGCCCTGGGCCTGGCACCTAAAGAGTGCTCTAATCTGGTCCCCTCCAGCTGGACCCTTCATAGGGCAAGGAGTCCTTAGCACCAAGGTACCCATGCTCTAGCACCTAAGACCCAGAAATTCCTTCTCCCCACAGCCCAGGGCCACATCTAGGGCCTGTGTAGGGCTCTTCCCGGTGACGGTCTCCTGCTCTTCTTGCTGGGCATGCCCTGGCCTACCCCTGCCCAAGAGGCTCATGGCCTCTACTCCTTTGTCCTTATAAAGGAGGAGTCTTCAAACTGTAAGGTGCCCATGACCCCTGGCACAAGAAACAATTATAGAAGCTCACAAGCACCACTTTGTTAATCAGGTGGGGAGGAAGTGGCTTTCTCAACCCTTCTGAATTTGTCAAGGAGAAAATTGGTTCCAGAGCACCTTTAACACTTCCCTGGCACTTGCTGATCTCCCCTTTAAATAAAGCAAGATGAGGTCTCGGTGCACAGCCTCATCACGCACCAGCATGTACGGCAACATTCACACCAGCCTGTACTTGGGAGTGGCATTGTCTTTTAAGGAAACCTCAAGGTTTTAAGGAGACCTTAGGGAGACAAGAAGTTTTTCATTTATAATAGTGATACAACGCTACCTTTTAAAATATTATGGTAAAATACACATAACATAAAATTGTCCATCTTAACCATTTTTAAGCATATGGATCAGTGGCATTAAGTACATTCACATCGTTGTGTAACCTTTGCCATCCATCTCCAGAACTCTTTCCATCTTGTAAAACTGAAACTCTGCACCCATTAAACGTTCCCCCTTCCCCAACTACCATTCTTCTTTTCTGTCTCTATGATTTTGATGATTCTACTTACCCGCATAAGTGGAATCATATAGTATTTGTCCTTTTGTGAGTAGCTTATCTTGCTTTGCACGATGTCCTTGAGGTTCACCTCTGTTGAAGTACGTATCAGATTTCCTCCTTTGCTAAGGCTGAATCATATCACATTGTATGTATATTCCAAGTTTTTTTTTAGCCATTCATCCATTCCACTGTATGTATATAATACACTTTGTTTATCCATTCATCATAGGACACTTGGTTGCCTCTACTGTTTGGCTATTGTGAATAATGATGCTATGAACATTGGGCGTATAAATATCCCTTCCTGCTTTCAATTCTTTTGTGTATATACTCAGAAGTGGAATTACCAGATCTAATGGTAATTCTATGCTTAATTTTTTTCAGGAACTGCCCTACTGTTTTTTTAATAGTAGCTGCCCCATTTTACATTCCCACCAACTGCACAAGGGTTCCAGTTTCTTCTCATCCTTGCCAACACTTCTCTACTTCTTTTTCAAAATAGTAGCCATCTAAATGGGTATTAGGTGGTCTCTCATTATGGTTTTGATTTGCATTTCCCTAATGATTAGTGGTGCTGAACATCTTTTCATGTGCTTATTGGCCATGTGTATATCTTTACACGATGCTATCTTTTAAAACATTTAAGAAAAAAGTGAATTAAAAGTATTGGTTAAATAAAAGTACGAGTGGTTTTATCGGACATGGCAGGTCTCACGGAGGATGTGTGCCGCAGTCTGGCTCTGGCCCACGCTGGCCTGTGAATGAGCTGCCCACGAACCTTTTTCCTTAATGGGGTTATTTCCCTGACTCCACCACGCACCATATTCCCCTGCCTCTGTGTCCATTTCTCAGCCTACAATAAATCCTAGGTCACCTGTAAGCCCCAGCTCAAAATCCCCTTCTCCCCAGAACTCCAGTGGGGCCCGAGCTGCCAGCCTCCCACATCCAGGCCCCGTAAGAGCTTCAGTCCTTCAGGAGGAGATCTGTCTCCCCTGTGAGCAATGTCTGCCCTCCCAGGACAGCAGACAGGGTAATGGGTGTGTGTAAAGCATGCTGCACAGAGTTTGGGATGCCAGCAATCAGAGACCAAGCGGGGGTCCCCTGAACAGTGCTACAAACCCCAGGGGGTTGCCCAGATTTCCCAAAGTCCAACTCCTCTTTCTCCTCCTCTTCCTTTTCTTTCTTGAATGGCACATAATCCCCACTGGTCCTAGGAAGGCCCTGCTCTTGTTTCATTATTAACATGCTCCCTTTTATCACTATTTCTCACTCCCATTCCTTGACCCATAGGGAACCATTTTAGTGTGCCTCATGCGTCTCTTTTGTTTGTGTTCTTGCAAAATGTGTGTTGTTGCTTAATGTGCCTGTGCTTTTTAATTATTAAACTGTATTGGGTTATTGATGTCATTCTGTTTCTGATCCTCTTCACCCAGCACTATATTGTGTTTTTTTTTTACTTCTTTCATACATTTATTGCTTTTTTATATTGCAACATAACATACATAAAGTGCAAAAATTTTATGTTTACAACTCAAAACGTCTTTTATGAGGCGGAAACACCCTTTACCCATTATCTAGATGAAGATGGAGAACATTACTAGCACTCCTGAAAGCTTCCCTGAGCTGCTCCGTCGTGAGCACCCCACCATTCTGATTTCTTTTCTTCTTTCTTTAGAGACAGGGTCTTAGTCTGTCACCCAGGCGGGAGCGCAGTGATGCAATCATGGCTTCCTGCAGGCTTGAACTCCTGGACTCAGCAATGCTCCCACCTCATCCTCCCGAGTAGCTGAGACTACAGGTGTGCACCACCATACCCAGCTACTATCCTGCTTTCTGTTACCATTGATTAGTTTGCCTGTTGTTGAACTTTATATAATATAAATAGAATCATACAATATGGAATCTTTGGTGTCGTTTCTTTTTCTTAACCTATGTCTGTGAGATTTCGTGTTTTTGTGTGTGTAGGTATAGTTTGCTCTTTTTATTTGCTGTATAGTGTTCCACTGTTGATTTATCCATTTTCCTGTGGATGGGCATTCATATTGATTTTCGTTTGTGAATGTGATGGATCAAGCCGTTATGAAGCCTGCATGCCTCTCGGTGGGGATGTGTCTGCATCTCTGAGAGTGTCCTTCGGAGTGGGATGCTGTGTCATGTGCAGGCATGTATTTCGTGTTGGTAGGCACTGGCGCCATATTTTCAAGCTGCCCCCTTCCTCCCCACCTGAGCCTCTTTTATCTGTGTCTTCCCTCCCCACGCCCACCTCCTGCTCCTGCCCCTTGTAAGTCTCCATCTATGCTGGCGGCTTCCACTGTTGGTAATTATGAAACCCCACCCCCAGCTGTGGCTGCAGGTAAAAGCCCTGCAGAAACCCAGTCCAACTCCATGGAGCAGGCTGTCCAGGGAGGCTGTGTTCCTTATAGACCCTAAAGTCCTCACAGATGCTGTAGGTGAAGGGCTCTATGGAGACATCAACCACACAAGAGATGCTTCTGATACTGGCCGAGCTTTTTCACATTCACATCAGATTTGCTGAATTTGCCTTGTGAAGAATTCACGGTGGCTCACGCCTGTTAATCCCAGCACTTTGGGAGGCCAAGGTGGGCAGATCACTTGAGGCCAGGAGTTCGAGACCAGCCTGGCCAACATGGTGAAACCCCGTCGCTACTAAAAATACAAAAATTAGCTGAGTATGGTGGCATGCACCTGTAATCCCAGCTACTCTGGAGGCTGAGGCAGGAGAATCACTCGAACCTGGGAGGCAGAGGTTGCAGTGAGACGAGATTGCACCACTGCACTCCAGCCTGGGCAACAGAGCAAGACTCCATCTCAAAACAAAAGAATCCATTGAGAAGCCGTGTCCATCTAATGGGCTTCACAGAAGGCCAAGAGACAGGCTCCAGGTCCCCAGAGTGGGTCGCCAGGGCAAGCACACGGCAAGGGTATTTTGCGACTCTCCTTAGGAGCTTTAATAAGTACAAATACCATTTTTTAATTTAAAAAAAATAAACGTTCATTTTAATATAAGCTTCTACTTCAGAGCAAGTGATTTAGCTTTCAATGATAGTCATGTCACCTGCTTTCAAAAAGTGAGATGTCTTAAAGAAAACTATTTAATAAATAACAGGTAGAACACAGATGTGGAGAAATTATGCAACTGGTGTGCAAAGGACAGAAAACGGAAGAGGAGCTCAAGGGACAGATGCCTAGGCCTGGGTTTAAATCGATGCTGTGCTGGAGCCAATTATTAAATATTCAGAAATTCTGCAAGCCGGTTGTTAAACATTGGTACTCTGAAACCAGCCACGGCAGTAAAGTAGTATTTATACCATGGAAATTGGCACACACTACAAATCAGGCCTCCCTTCCCTCCCCCTCCCCCTCTTTCTTATTTTTCACAGTGGTTTAGCAGAATGCCATTGGTTCAAATTCCCACTTGGCCACGAATCAGCTCTGTGATCTCTGCAAGTTCTCGTCCCCTTGGGGTCAGTTTCTCTCTGTGAAGTGGAGATGATGACCTCTGCCTCTCTAGCTCTGCCAGATGCAAATCAGAGGACAGATGCCTGGAACATGTGGCCGCTGTAGTTACCCCATTCCCTGTGACTTGTTGCTATAGAGGTGAGGTCTGTGAAGGGTTCAGCCTGGGTGAGGACTGAAACACCACCCTCCCACAGGCACCCCCCAGAGCAGGCACTCGCAGGCACCGGGTGCCCACTGCCACCAGGACATGACGTAATGGCATTTTATTTAGAAAAATCTACAACATATTTGCAGTAGCAATCCAAAAAATTTACTCTCTTCTAATGAAAAATTTCAAATACATGAAAAAGTTGAGATTGGTACAATGAAGCAGCTGTGTATCCCACCACCTGGATTCAGCTGTGGTTATCATGTGGTCATAAATGCTGTATCTGACGGGTCCCCAACCTCACGGAGCAGGCTGGTGAGCGAGTGAAGCCTCATCTGTATTTACAGCTGCTCCCCATTGCTCACGTTACCACCTAAGCTCCACCTCCTGTCACATCAGCAGCAGCACTGAATTCTCATAGGAGCGTGAGCCGTACCGTGAACTGTGTGTGCGAGGGATCTAGGTTCCGTGCTCCTTATGAGAATCTAATGCCTGATGATCTGTCACTGTCTTCCATCACCTCCAGATGGGACTGTCTAGTTGCAGGAAAACAAGCTCAGGGCTCCCACTGATCTACATTATGGTGAGTTGTATAATATTTCATTATATATTACAAGTTAATAATAATAGAATTAAAGTGCACAATAAATGTAATGTGCTTGAATCATCTCAAAACCACCCCCAGCCTGATTCCAGTCCATGGAGAAATTGTCTTCCACTAAACCTGGTCCCTGGTGTCAAAAGTGTTGGGGACCTGCTGCTCTGTCACTTTGACTTGTAAAGCTCTTTCCTGAACTATCTTATGACCCTTTGGGCTGTTCTTCCATGCTATCACGGCTGGGACAATGAACAGTGAATTCCCTATGAACAATGAATTCCCTAAAATAACCCCATATCCCACCCTTATTCAGATATTTCCAAACATCTCAACGTGTCCCTCCACCCTGTTTTATTTGAATGGGATCCCGTGAAAGTTCTGCAGGGGGTTTGATTATGCCTTTTTCTAGAAATTCAGACTGTAAGGGTGCACCCCAGATCCAGCAGAAGTGGACAGCCATCCTGAGACCCAAAGCTTGTATCCTGCCCTAAGACTGCACCACTCAGAACTCCCCAGGAAATGTACTGAGTTCTGCAGTTGTCCTGTCAACACCACAAGTATGCTGTGTTCTAATTTGTTGTGAGAACACTGAAATTATACCACAATCACTGCAACCTTCTCATCTGTAGCATACCAAGAACCTCAAAAAAATGAAGCTAGCCCAGGCTCCTCCCACCTCCCAGGCTCTGCACTAAATGAACGAAACTGCCCTCCTTTCCCTTCTCTGGGGGATGGTCTCATCAGGGAAGTAACGGCAGGAGTACGGGGAGGGAAACCTACCATGCTGGCAGTCCCCGAGCCCAGGGCTCTCAGGCCATGTTAGTGACAGTCTGATGGGGTGACATCGTGGAAACCCCAATTGACCCAAGAGAAGTGACAGGATGGCTCAGATTTGGAAGCTGTCATGTTCCAGAGACGAGAATTTGATCTCCCTGCAGATGCTCAGACACAGGGATTGTTACACCTATTTTGCAGATCTGGAAACTGAAACTCAGAGAAGCTCTTTGTCCAGCTGATGAGTAGTGAGTGGCGGCTCTGGGGCGTAAACCCAGTCCTGGCAGGCTCCTGGGCCTCACTCATGTTGCTACTGCAGGTTGGCGCCAGGCTCAGGATGCAGAGGACCCCTGGGTTTCTTTGCATTTGGCCCAGCCCAGGAAGCCTCAAGCTGACAGTCGAGCTCTGTCCAGGAATTCGGGTGGGTCCTGGACCTGGTCCTGCCTTTGGGAGGCTGAGCAGTCACAGGCTGCCAGGATGGCTGCTAAAAAGCAGGATCGAAGGTATTGCTTTGTCCTTTGTCAAGATGAGTTTGATCAGAGTGATGAATGACTGAGCCACAAAGAGCTGAGCGAGAGGCCATGCACCTGGGCTGAGGAAGCCTGAGGCCAGCCACCCCTGCATCTGAGTGCTGGTGCTGAGGCTGACTTGCAGTGGTGATCGTTGGATTCCCGAGGGCCCCTCCACCAGGCGACCTAGGATATCCAGGACCCTTATCCTCATGGACAGGAGAAACAGACTTGGTCCAACTTGCACAGAAAGCGGCTCCTTTGGAAGTCTGCAGAGCCACTCATCTGGCTGGAAGTGCGTCCGGAACTGGTTCCTTCTGGTGGGTTCTTGGTCTCCCTGACTTCAAGAATGAAGCTGCAGACTCTCACAGCAAGTGTTACAATTCTTAAAGACGGTGTGTCCAGAGTTTGTTCCTTCAGATGTTAAGATGTGTCCAGAGTTTCTTCCTTCTGGTGGGTTCGTGGTCTTCCTGACTTCAGAAGTGAAGCCGCAGACCTTCGCAGTGAGTCTTACAGCTCTTAAAGGCGGCGCGTCCAAGATTGTTCGTTCCTCCCGGTGGGTTTGTGGTCTCACTGACTTCAGGAGTGAACCTGCAGACCTTTCCAGTGAGTGTCATAGCTCATAAATGCAGTGCCTCACCCAAACCGTGAGCCAGTGGCAAGATTTATTGCAAAGAAAAAAAAACAAAGTTTCCACAGCGTGGAACAGGACTCAAGCGGGTTGCCGCTGCCGCAGGGGGTGGCCAGCTTTTATTCCATTATTTGCCCCGCCCCCCCATCCTGCTGATTGGTCCATTTTACAGAGTGCTGATTGGTCCATTTTACAGAGTGCTGATTGGTCCGTTTTGACAGAGTGCTGATTGGTGCGTTTACAAACCTTTAGCTAGACACAGAGCGCTGATTGGTCTGTTTACAATCCTTTAGTTAGACACAAAAGTTCTCCAAGTCCCCACCCGACCCAGAAGCCTAGCCGACTTCACTTCTCAGAGGGAGGGTAGCAGGGCTAGGCTCAGAAAGGACAGCCCTCATGCAGCCGTGCGGGTTGGGGTGGCTGGAACCAAAGGGTTCTATGAGGGTGCTGCTGTCGGGCAAAGCCAGTGCTGGGTTCCTCAAGGAAGAACACAAGCTTCCTACCTTGGATCAGATGCCTGCCCCTTGACTGTAGAAACTCGAACCACCTTGACTGTCAGCTCTGCCAAGAGAGTATCTGATGGAGGAGGAATGGGCCCCCTTCCAGGGCCAAAATAGCTTAGTGGGCAACGGGCAGGCAAGGGCAGCCTCCGTCTGCTGCAGGGGGAAGCCCATGCAGATCCCTGATCCCACTTCCTGCCAGGTGAACGCTGGCTGGTTTCTTTCAGAAGTAGAGGTGGGGTTTTGATCTTCTCTCTCAGACATGTCTTCCAGGTAGGGGACAATGTGCAGATCATTTGTGGTCAGCCGAGAGTCTGACATGAGAGACCCAGAAGCTTTTCCATGACCAGCAGCCTGGGGATTCAGGTGGGCGGGCAATGCAAGCTGCCAGTCCAGAGCTGACACCAGAGTCCAGGACACTTTTAAGCCAACATTCAACACAAGAGAAAACAAACTATGTGCATAAGGATATTTACTGTAGCATTAGCTACAGGGACAAAAAGTTGGAAATAAACTCCTTTATTTGTTAAGCAAATTGTGGTGCAACAAATTTGAGGATGGTTATGCAGCTATTAATATATCGAACAGGCTGTAGCAACGTGAACACTTACGATGTTCTGTTGAGTGCAAAAGCAGAATACAAATAAATCTCTGGTTGCCATTATGTGGAACAAGTCCATATGTATGAACAAGGACTGGAAAGTACAAAGGGAAACTTTAAAAATCCCAGGACCCTCAAACTCCTGCCCAAGGTTAAGCCTAGAGGATGAGCCATGCAACCCCCTCTTCCGGATGAATAGCTGTTGCTAGTATGATGCATTTGCCAGATCCCAACAGAAAGGTGCAAGTTCTCAGGCGGGCTGGGTGCAATGGCTCACCCCTGTAATTCCAGTGCTCTGGGAGGCTGAGACGGGAGGATCACTTGCGGCCAGGAGTTTAAGGCCAGCCTGAACAGCATAGCGAGACCCCCATCTCTACAAAAAATCATAAAATAATTTGCTGGGCGTTGT
This sequence comes from Homo sapiens, assembly GCF_000001405.40. Lineage (NCBI taxonomy): Eukaryota > Metazoa > Chordata > Mammalia > Primates > Hominidae > Homo > Homo sapiens. The sequence continues at coordinate 180,082,237 of NC_000005.10, forward strand.
GGTGTCCCAGCTACTCTGGAGGCTGAGGCAGGAAGATTGCTTAAGCCCAGGAAGTTGAGGCTATTGACGCTACAGTGAGCTGTGTTTGTACCATTGCACTCCAGCCTGGGTGACAGGATGAGACCCTGTCTCAAAAGAAAACAAAATACAAACAACAACAAGAATATTCTAAAAAAGTTTGGTGGGGGTTGAGAGTTCCAGATCGGCTCACATAGATGACAAGAGAAATCTCTTGCCGGGCGCGGTGGCTCACGCCTGTAATCCCAGCACTTTGGGAGGCCGAGGCGGGTGGTTCACCTGAGGTCAGGAGTTTGAGACCAGCCTGGCCAACATGGTGAAATCCCGTTTCTACTAAAAATACAAAAAAATTAGCTGGGTGTGGTAGCAGGCACCTGTAATCCCAGCTACTCAGGAGGCTAGAGGCAGGAGAATTACTTGAACCCAGGAGGCAGAGGTTGCAGTGAGCCGTGATCGCGTTACTGCACTCCAGCTTGGGCAACAAGAGCGAAACTCCAACTCCAACAAACAAACAAAAGAAGAGATTCCACCTGTAGAAGGTGACAGCCAATGGGGATGTCAAGAGATCACGTGTCAGCGTGAGGAACAGAGTGACAGATGCCTTAAGGGGCCACTCAATGCTCACCCCTTCTCCCACGCCTGACTCCACAGCAGAGGCTGTAGGAAGTAAAAATTCAGTTTGCCTGTATGGGCATCCATCCGTTCATCCACCCACTCGTTCATTCAGCACATTTTTATGGAGCAGCAGTTCTAGGTACTTGGAATACATTAGCAAACAATCGAAGATCCTCCCCACCCGCCCCCCTCCCACAGCACGTCCCAGCCTGCAGAGGTTCTGGGCAATGCACCGGCTGGGAGGTCAGTTGTGCTGTATTTCTCCTTCTTCCTGCCACATGGGGTCCTGAGGACAGAAGCCATGCACTAAAGGCAGTGGAGACGGACAAGGGAGCCTGGGCCCCTGAGCTGAGCCAGGGCTCAGCCAGCCTGGCGCATTCTTCTGCACTTCTTTGTTTAAACCCTCGTGTGAAAGATTTGCTGTTATTTGCATCTGAATGCAGCCCTAACTGACGGAGGTAGAGACAAAGGGGAGGGAGCACTGAAATACTCCCAGGCTGGGCTCTGGGGTCTTGGCCTCTTGAAATTTCCCATGTACTCATTTTAAAACACTCCCAAATTAGGCCTATCCTAGAGAAGGGAGCTCCTCCTGATGGAGGGGCCCCAACTCTGAAAATCTAGAACTTGGGATTTTCAGCTAAGAGTGAAGAGGGCAGTTGGGGAGGGCCCTTAAGCAATCTGATGGCCCCGCAAACTAAGGGTGGCAGGCACTGATCAGTGCCATGGTGGTTGCAAGTATGTGAAGCCCAGCTCAAGCAGGAGGAGAATATAATGGGTCTGATCTAAGGCATGACTGAATCTACACGCTCAAAAGATATCATCAATGTTGGGCTCCCTCTGTCCCTGTCTCAACCTTGCTCTCCCCTGGGTTGCCTTCATTTGTTCTCAGGTGGCTCTCCCTGTGTGGGTACAAGATGACCCCCGGCGTGTCCCAGCACATTCAGGAGGAACGTTCTGCCGTCTCAGAATCCCAGCGGGGCACAGCAGGACAGAAATGCTTTCTCTTTTTTAAAGGACTTACCATTCCGTATTCTGAGCCTCAGTGGCTTATCTCATGTCGTGAGTCCCATTAAGCCAGCCACTTGGACCAGCTCAATAAAATGCTCCAATGGACCAGACCACGTGTTTCTTCCTAGAGGCCTAGGGGGAGGACCCCTTGACCCAGCCCCATGGGCTGAAAATGGAGAGGGTGGTACAATAAAAAATAAATGTTGGTCTTGGTCCCTGCTTTTGGCACATAACTCCCGAAACCCTTGGAATCTCTGATAATGGTGGTAATCTCTGATAATGATTTTAGATAGCTTCAGGATGAGGGCTGGTTGCCAGAGGAACCAACGATGCATTTAGAGGGTCAGGACTTTCAGCCCCAACCCCCAATCTCCAGGGAGGGGTGGGGAGCTGGAGACTGAATCAGTCTCCACTGGTCAAGGCTCGGGTAATGAAGCCTCCGAGCTTCTGGGTTGGTGAACACACTGATATGCTGGGAGGGGATGCACCCAGAGAGGGTATGCGGGCTCCAGGCCCCTTTCCTCATCCCTCGCCCTGTGCATCTCCTCCATTTGGCGGTTCCTGAGTTGTATCCTTTATGATGGCAAGAGTAAGGTAAGTACCTTCCTGAGTCCTGTGAGTCATTCTAGCAAATTACAGAACCTGAAGTAGGGCAGGTTGTGGGAACCCCTGACTTTGTAGCCAAGTCAGACCAAAGTGTGGGTAACTTGGCACCTGAAGACAGGCCAGTATTATGGGACTAAACCCTATGGAGTGTCAAGTCAACTCCGAGTAGTTAAGTGTCAGAATCAGCTTGAACCATAGGACACCCAGTTGATGCCAGAATTGGTTGGTGTCTGGAGGGTTTCCCAAGGAAAATTGGGATGCACTTATAGGTATAAGGCACATAGATCTGGGTAGCGGCAGTAACAGGCACACTTGTTCCCCTGTGACAGATGTGGCTTGCCCTGCCCCTGGGATGAGTCAGGAGTCTCTCCAGCATCACCTGGGGCATGCCAGCAGCATCCCAGGCTGGGACAAGAGACACCCATTGGGGGCCATTGGGATGCCTTGGGCTGCAAGTAACAGAAACCCTCACTGACATGGGCTTCCTTGAGAAGGGGATCCGGGGAAGAAAGGGTTTTGGACAGCCTGCGTGGCCTTTCACAGTCTTTGTCCCCAAGGCCGTCTTCTCTCACAGCTGCAAGATAAATGCCAGCCGCAACTGGAGCAAGGCACTTCCTCATTCCTGCTAGATGGGGAGAGAGAAAGCATTCCCTCAATGGCAGAAAAAAAATTCTTATCTTCAGCCATTTTTTTTCCGTTGGTAGAGACGGGGACTCTCTATGTTGCCCAGGCTGCTCTCAAATTCTGGGCTCAGGAGATCCTCCTGCCTTGGCCTCCCAAAGTGCTGGGATTACAGGCAAGAGCCACCACACCTGGCCTTCAGCCAATTTTGATACCTGCCCAACCACTCTGGACGAATAGAGTCAACAAGGAAATGCCAGGGCTGATTGCTTTAAGCCTGAGCCCCTGACTGCAACAGCAGATAAGATGACATCGCAGACCGGCTGGTGTGCTTATGCTGACTTCCCGAAGGGAGGGGACTGTGTGAAGGCAGCGGGTTCTGGGTGGGTGCTCTGTGTGTAGAGATGCATTGCCTGGTACCATCCTGACCCATGGGGTAGGAGATGCCCTTACCTTCTCGATTTTCTCCTCCTTTGCCTTTTCTCTTTTTTTTCTTTAATTATAAATGTTTTTAGTAAATGTTTATTTTTTATATTCCTTAAAAACAAAACAAAAATCACAAGTTTAATACTAATCCTTTGAAATACTGTACACCAAACAAAGCCACCTGACTCATGCAGCAAGTTGCTCTATGTTCTCTTTACTTCTGTTTGCCAAATGATCCTCAATAATTTCTGCAGATTCCTCTTCAACAGATTATATGCAAGAGGTAAATGCTGAGCAGCAACTTTATGAAAATAATGTGAGCCACAGCAAAAGAGCTCCATTCCCAACTCACGCCCCTTCCCACAATTACATTCATCACTAGCAAACTGCACGAAAGTCATCATTTCCTGAATGGGAACAAAAGCTTTCAGTCTCTCCTCACTTGCAGCCTCAACTATTGTCTTGCAAATTCTGTTGACGTCAGCATCTGTTTCAGGGAGCTCTCTGTACCCAACATCATTTTTATCTGCTGGAACAGCCAAGCCTGCACCATGAAAGGCCTTCGTCACAACTTTCTTATCGGTTTCATCTTCGTGGTTGTCTGTTCCAGTGAGGACCCCATTTCTCTGGCTGCTTCTGCGAGTTTTTCATCTATGTTTTTCAAGAGATTAGTTTTTTTTTTTTTTTTTTTGAGGCAGAGTTTTGCTGTTGTTGCCCAGGCTGGAGTGCAATGGCACGATCTTGGCTCACTGCAACTTCCACCTCCCGGGTTCAAGCGATTCTCCTGCCTCAGCCTCCCGAGTAGCTGGGATTACAGGCATGCGCCACCACGCCCGGCTAATTTTGTATTTTTAGTAGAGATGGGGTTTCTCCATGTTGGTCAGGCTGGTCTCAAACTCCCTACCTCAGGTGATCCACCCGCCTCGGCCTCCCAAAGTGCTGGGATTACAGGCGTGAGCCACTGCACCCGGCCTAGTTTTCTTTTTATGCGTTACTTCTTTAAGTTTTTTCATCAAAAATAATTTGACTGCCACAAATACATTATCTCCATTTGGAACAATTGTACACTTTTTCTTTGCTTCATTTATACCAACATATGCAGGAAGTTCATCAGAAGAATCCCTGAAATACCCCATGTGGTACTGAGTTTTATTATCTCCAATAATGACGGTCTGGAACTCAGGAGGATCATGGTAAAACCTCCAATGAAGGCTAACATTCAGGCCTGTTGAATTTTTCTTAATTTTATGTTTTCCAGCAAGGATATCATAAGGACCACCTAACTGAAGTCCGAGGCTTGCAGAAAGTGATCAGCTGGCTTTTCAGGATCAAGTTCTTCAAAGAACTTCCAGAAACGATCGGAATCTTCAGGTGAAGAGAGCTTATAATGATTTTCTACTTCTTGTCGAAGACCACATCAGCTTCATAGAATTTACTTTTCTTCACATTAACCATTTTTTCACAGGCCCCTCCCCGCTGGGCTTGCACTTCCTCCCACCGCCGACCATTCTGCAGCCGCAGTGCCTTTTTTTTTTTTTTTTTACACAGGATCTGGCTCTGCTGCCCAGGCTGGAGGGCAGTGGCACAATCATAGCTCACTGCAGCCTCAAACTCCCAGGCTCAAGCCATGCTCCTGACCCAGCCTTCTGAGTAGATAAGGCTACAGCCACGCCCCACCATGCCTGGATGCTTTTTCGTTGTTGTTGAGACACGGTCTTGCTATGCTGCCCAGGCTGGCCTGGAACTCCTGGCCTCAAGTGATCCTCCCACCTCAGCCTCCCAAAGCATTCAGGTTACAAGTGTGAGCCACTGTGCCTGGCCTTCTCTTCCTTTTCTCTCCCATTTCACCCTCTTCCTCCCCTACCACTCTGTTCTTCCATCACCTGTTTTCTTTTACCCTCTCCTGCTTTCTGACTCCACCCCACACAGGTTTCATCAGTTAATTTTAAATAAACCTTAGCATTGGCTATACAGGTTGGGCAGATGACTATACCTCTTTAAACCTCAACTTTTTAATCCTTAAAATGGGAGAATCGGCCAGGCGCAGTGGCTCACGCCTGTAATCCCAGCACTTTGGGAGGCTGAGGTGGGCGGATCACCCAAGGTCAGGAGTTTGAGACCGGCCTGACCAGCATAGTGAAACCCTGTCTCCACTAAAAAATACAAAAAAATAATTACCCGGGCATGGTGGTGGGCACCTGTAATCCCAGCTACTCGGGAGGCTGAGGCAGGAGAATCCTTTGAATCCAGGAGGCAGAGGTTGCAGTGAGCCGAAATTGCACCACTGCACTCCAGCCTGAGCAACAGAGCAAGACTCCATCTCAAAAAAATAAAAAATAAAATAAAATAAATGGGAGAATTAACATTCGTCGTAATTAGGGAGGTTAAATATTACATTTTGGATTCTGAAGCTGGCCAAGATGAAGTAAGAGACCACTACAATCCATCCATGCCGCTGTCTAGGGACAAAATCAACAAGTCACTAGCTAAGGACTCTGCAGTGTTAACAATAGCAGGTGGATAGGAGAGAAGAGCTGAAACTTGAAGAATGACCTATTCAAGGGCAAGTTTCCCAGTTGCTTTTTCTTTCTTGTCTCCCAGTTTTGAACTGAGGTCAGCCCCAGTATAGAACAGTGCAGCATGTATGGGCAGAAAAAACTTCAAGAGAACCATCTGTGAGTGGAAAAAACACAAACCGTTTTTCCTCTGCTCCCACGCCACAGTAAGCAACACAGAAGGCTTCGGTGACCAAATGTTGGGGGTTTCTCCCCACACATCAGCAAGCAAGCAACCAATTCTGCATTAGGCACCAGCTGGGTGTCCTCTATATTCTAATGCTATCTACCTGGAGAGAGCGTCAGAGCCCACAGGGTGGGGCTCAGTCCCCAAGACTGCCTCCACTTCTGATGCCACTCCCAAGTCAGGGCCTCAGGAACTTCTGAGGGACCGGCTTCAAGTTGGGGTTCCCATGACGCCCTCCTTGCGTTCAATTAATTTGCGAGAGTGGCTCACAGAACTCGGGGACACACTTACATTTGCTGGTTTATTATAAAGGGTATTGGGAAGAATACAGATGAAGAGATGCCTGGGCAAGGCATGGGGAAAGGGGCACGAAGGTTCTACCCCTCCCTGGGCACGCGGCCCTCCAGGAACCTCCATGTGTTCAGCTATCCTGGAGGTTATACGGAGGCTTCATTTCTTGGGCGTGGCTGGTGAAATCACTGGCCATGGGTGACCAACTTAACCTTCAGCCCCTCTCCGCTCCCCGGAGGCTGGGGGGTGAGGCTGAAAGTCCCAGGCCTCTAGTCCTGCCTTGGTCCTTCTGGTGACCAGCCCCATCCTGGAGCTACCTGGGGGCTGCCCGCCTTCACCCACCTCTTTAGCATATGAAAGACACTACTGTGGAGATTCTGAGGATTCTAGCAGTTGTAGGCCAGGAAGCCCGGATGAAGACCAAATGTATATTTGATAAGATCACAGCCACATTTTGTGTAGCATTCATCCACTGAAGTACATTTTGTTTGTTCCCCACTCCTCGGCTATTGTGAGCAGTGTGGCTATGTACATTTGTGTGCAAGTTTTTGTGTGACTGTATGTTGTCATTTCTTTTGGAATGGAATACCTAGGAGGGTGGAGTTGCTGGGTCACGTGGTCATGTTTAATTTTCTCTAGATCTTATCACTTTCTGAAATTATTACTTTTCTTTTATGTATTTTTTTTTTTTTGAGACAGAGTCTTGCTCTGTCGCCAGCTGGAGTGCAATGGCCCTATCTCAGCTTACTGCAAACTCCGACAGGTTCAAGTGATTCTCCTGCCTCAGCCTCCCGAGTAGCTGGGATTACAGGCGCGTGCCACCACGCCCAGCTGATTTTTATATTTTTTGTAGAGATGGGATTTCACCATGTTGGCCAGGCTGGTCTAGAACTCCTGACCTCAGGTGATCTGCCCACCTTGGCTTCCCAAAGTGCTGGGATTACAGGCGTGAGCCACCACATCCACCTATTACTTGTTTATTGACTGTCTCTACAGGGGGCTGGGACTGGGATGAAGTGAGTGAGATGGTTGCCTCAGGTGGAAAATTGGAGAAGGGTCCTCAAAATCTCAGTCATCAGCATAAATAATATTTTAATACAATATTTTCAAAAGTCAAAGACAAGGTCAGTCAGAGGACTGGAGCCTGAGGCCAAAAGAAAAATCCAATCCGGCCAGGCGCGGTGGTTCACGCCTGTAATCCCAGCACTTTGGGAGGATGAGGTGGGGGGATCACGAAGTCAGGAGTTCGAGACCAGCCTGGCCAATATGGTGAAACCCCGTCTCTACTAAAGATGCAAAAAATTAGCCAAACATGGCGGCGGGCGCCTGTAATCCCAGCTACTCAGGAGGCTGAGGCAGGAGAATCGCTTGAACTCGGGAGGCGGAGGTTGCAGTGAGCAGAGATGGCGCCGCTGCTCTCCAGCCTGGGCGACGGGGAGAGACTCCGTCAAAAAAAAAAAAAATCCAATCCTGTCTTTATTTAAAATGTTGATATTTTGTTCATGGACTTTTTCATTAACTTTAACTTTTAAAAACATGGCATTAAAATATTGCGCACCTCGACGGCTGCGTTTTCCGGTCTCTCCGGCGTTTTGCGCGGGAGGAGAGTGAGGCGCTTTCTCGCCCACATCCCCCGCGGGGGTCGCGAGGGCTCTCCCTCAGCTCAGCCGCGGGCTCTCAGGAGGCTCAGGTCTGGCTGAAGGGAAGGATTGTTTGGGAGCAGGAACTATAATCAGCCTTGATTTTAGGTCAGGCTTTCGTGCTGGGAGGCCCGCCCTAAAATCAAAACGCGAGAAAAACCTCAGGAGGTGGGAGCAGCTGAGGCCAGACCTGGGGGAGGGTCCGTGAGGGGAAGGAGGGAGCAGATCCCAAGGCATCTCGGCGGAGAAAGGGACGCAGGTCGGTGGGCGATTGCTGGGGGCGGGGTGGGGAGGAGCGCTGCCGCCGGAGGAGCGCGAAGGAGCAAATCTGACGCCCAGCACTCGGGACGCCCAGCGCGGCGTCAGGGGCCCCCTGTGCCCCGGATTCCTGCCGGGCTGAGTGGGCGGTGCCGGAGGGAGGGCGCCCCCTGGCGGTTCGGCGCGGGCCGGCGACGGCCTCGGCTTCTTTTTTTTTTTTTTTGAGACGTGGTCTCGCTGTGTCTGGAGTGCAGTGGCGAGATCTCGGCTCACTGCAACCTCCGCCTCCCGGGTTCAAGCCATTCTCCTGCCTCAGCCTCCTGAGTAGCTGGGAGTACAGGCGTGTGCCACCACGCCCGGCTAATTTTTGAGTTTTTAGTAGAAAAGGGGTTTCACCTTGTTGGCCAGGCTGGTCTCGAACTCCTGACCGCAAATGATCCCCACCCCCCCCCCCCACCTCCGCCTCCCAAAGGGCTGGGATTACAGGCGTGAGCCACCGCCCCCGGCCCCTTGGCCTCTTAAGTAAGCAACTTCCCAGGGATGCCAAGGCACGGGAGAGAATCAGGATAAACAAGGCAGTATTTAAAAAAATTAAATCAGTAAGCTATTGCCCACAGGCTGGCTGCCTGTTTTGATAAGTAAAGTTTTACTGGCAAACTGGCAAAAAATAGAGAGCAAAGGCCTCAGGTGCAGGCCACGTGCCAGGGAAAAGCATGAGACTTAACTGGGCTATTTTAACGCAGTCTGTTTCACCTGCAAGGTGATGCCTCTGATGTTGCTCCTCAGGGGGAGCCTTGGGCATGCTCACAGTCATCCTGGGGTGGCGGTGGCTTTAGCAGGGCTCTCTTTGGCTGTCCCTTTCCCTCGTAATTCTGTTAACTGTCTGCCTTTGTTGGTCTCGCACCAGCTGTTAGGCGCCACCAACTGCTGGATGATGGTTCTACTGTTAAGACCAGGTCCTGGGACCAACATTTCTCCACAGTTTGATTCAATTAAATGCAGGTGCCTCTGCAGGGGCAGTGTTCCAGGTCAGTCTTCGAGGTTCATTCTGACCCCAGAGGGCTCTTTGTGGCTGCTTTCTCCATGGTTCTATCTGGTAAATTGGCTGGCTTATGGTTTAGCTTGTTGCTCTGTTGAAGCTACTAGTTATCTGTTAATCGCTTACCAACACGATCTCTACTGTTTTTGTTTTGTTTTTAGACAGTCCAGCTCTGTCGCCGAGGCTGGAGTGCAGCGGCACAATCTCGGCTCACTGCAACCTCTGTCTCTTGGGTTGAAACGATTCTCCTGCCTCAGCCTCCCAAGTAGCTGGGATTACAGGCGTGTGCCACCACACCAGGCTAATTTTTTATATTTTTGGTAAAGACGGAGTTTCACCATGCTGGCCAGGCTGGCCTCAAAATTCTGAGCTCGGGTGATCCACCTGCCTCAGCCTCTTAAAGTGCTAGGATTACAGGCGTCGGCCTCCACACCTAGCCTCTCTTGTTTTTTGAGTGCCCTTAGCCTTGAACTTACCTACACTGTGTTCAAATAAAGGCAATTCCTTTGGGGAGAGCTTAGAAGCTGTCTGTCCTGTGCCTTGCCTCTCCTCTCCTGGGCAAAATTTCTCAGTCACTGCTTCACTGTGGGTGGTAGGGACAACGGCCCACTTTCTCAGAGTGACACCCTTGCTTGATGAGTGGACTGGGTGGGGACTGCGGCCTCTGATCTTCCTGGCTTGCCTCTCCCAGCATGGAATTTCCACCCTGAGTGAGCTGGAGCCAGCCTGACTCGGTGTGCTCAGACTGAAGCACCTAGGGCAGAGTCTCCACTCTGCAATGGAAGGGCTGAGTGGAGGAGGGGGCCCTGACCTCTCAGCTGCACTTGCTCCAGATTTAGCTTCTAACACAGAGCTGGGCTTGCGGAGAGAGATGCTGGAAGCCTGCCCCTCCCGTGGGGATATGGTAGCCTTGCCTGGGAGCTGGGGGACAGAGAGCTTTGTGTTGTTGACTGCACCCACCTGGCACAGAGCTTTTGTCACTCTGAGCTGAGAGTAAGGATGGAGGAAGTGGTAATAGTTCAAATTTCATAGTGCTCACTGTTCTTACTGAGCTTCAGTAGATTTTTTCTTGAATCAGTTTTTCTTCATTTGGTCTATTATTTTAAGACAACTTCCGGGCCGGGCGTGGTGGCTCACGCCTGTAATCCCAGCATTTGGGAGACCGAGGCAGGCGGATCACGAGGTCAGGAGTTCGAGACCAGCCTGACCAACATGGTGAAACCCCGTCTCTACTAAAAATACAAAAAAAACATAGCCAGGCATGGTGGTGGGCGCCTGTAATCCCAGCTACTCAGGAGGCTGAGGCAGGAGAATTGCTTGAACCCGGGAGGCGGAGGTTGCAGTGAGCCAGATTGTGACACTGCACTCCAGCCTGGGCAACAGAGTGAGACTCTGTCTCAAAAAAAAAAAAAAAAAAAAGACAATTTCTGGAGGCTTAAAAAAATCCTTTTTACCCCTTGCACTCGTTTTGCTGGGAAGGGGGTCCGTAGGTTTCCCTCGGCTCCTCTCCTCTGCCTGCCCTTTGAGATTCCTGCTCCTGATGCTTGGCAAATACCCTTCATCCTCACGGCCCTGAGGAGCTCCCCGGCTCTCCCTCCCTGGGCCTGGGCCCCAGGGTGTTTCCTCCTCTGGTAGCTGCGTGTGTCTGAGATGCTATTATTTTGGAGGAACATCACATTTGAGAGAGACCCACCTTTTGCTGTCTGTGTACTCCCCTTCCCTGTTTTCCTGCTCATTTCTTTGGGTGCAGAGCTCTCTTGCTAGGCCATAGGCCCTCTCAGCTTTGGGAGCTCTACCCTACTCCCTACAGTGATTTACTGTACTTTTTGGTTGTAAAATGTTTTTCTGGGGGGATGGGAGACAGGGTCTCATTCTATCACTCAGGCTGGAGGGCAGTGGCTCAATTATAGCTCGCCGCAGCCTTGAACTCCTGGGCTCAAGCTATTCCCCTCCCTCGGCCTCCCAAGTAGCTGGGACTACAGGTGTGCGCCACTACGCCTGGCTAATTTTTAAATTTTTTGTAGAGACAAGGTCTCCCTATGTTGCCCAGGCTGGTCTTGAACGCCTGGCCTCAAGTTATCCTCCTGCCTCCCAAAGTGCTGGAACTGCAGGCATGAGCCACCATGCCCAGCTTAAAATCCATTTAAAAAAAATCAAAGTAGTACTTAAAGGTAATTTATAGTGTTAAGAGGCTTTTAACAGAAGCTGCCATTCCCACTCCCCCTTCCTTTCATGTTTTCTGTTCCGCAGAGGCGTTTGGGCTTCTCCTGGAGCCCTGTCCTCCCACTGGCTGTCATCTGCTGGGTGCTGATAAGAGGCTGTCTCCCAGGACTTCCTGTTCTCTCCCTGCGTTGGGTCCTGTGACTGCTGACCCACATCATCTTTCTTGGTTTATTTCCTCATTTTGGTGGCATATGTCTTGCTGCAGGAACATAATCCTGATGCTAAGCGTTGGCAAGGATTTGTGGGGCCACTTAACCATGCTGGTGGGCTGGTACGTCCATTGTGGGGTGAGGGTGCCTTTCCACGTCAGTACATGAAGCATCCTTATTACAGCTGCAGAGTATTCAATGGGGAGGCACACAGGGATGTGTTTTCCTGGCTTCCTATTTATGGACAAGGGTTGTTTCCAATCTTTTGCTGTCAAACACTGCTGTGACGAATAGCCATATGCAGACTTCATTTGAAGGTGTGTAAGGGTGAAGGGAAGATTACTTGCTGGAGGTGACATTGCCATGTCACAGCATCCACATATTTGTAATTTGTTGTTGTTGTTTTGAGACGAAGTCTTGCTCTTGTTTCCCAGGCTGGAATACAGTGGCACGATCTCAGCTCACTGCAACCTCTGCCCCCAGGGTTCAAGTGATTCTCCTGCCTCAGCCTCCCGAATAGCTGGGATTACAGGCATGCGCCACCACACAAGGCTAATTTTATGTATTTTTTAGTAGAGATGGGGTTTCACCATGTTGGCCAGGCTGGTCTCGAACTCCAGACCTCAGGTGATCCGCCCGCCTCGGCCTCCCAAAGTGCTGGGATTACAGACATGAGCCACCACGCCCGGCCTGTAATTTTGATGGCAACCGCCAAATCCACCTCCATGGGAGAGCATCAATTTACACTCCAAACAGCAATGACGAGTGCTTGTTTCCCCAGCTGTGCTTCAAAACATTACTATTAGTTTTCTGTCAATCTAAGAGGTAAAAATGGCAAATCAGTGTGGTCGTCTTTCAGAGAACTTGAAAGTTTCTATCACCGTGAGCATCTTTTGTTTGTTTGTTTGGTTTGGTTTGGTTTTTTTGAGACGGAGTCTCGCTCTGCCGCCCAGGCTGGAGTGCAGTGGCGGGATCTCGGTTCACTGCAAGCTCCGCCTCCCGGGTTCACGCCATTCTCCTGTCTCAGCCTCCCAAGTAGCTGGGACTACAGGCACCTGCCACCACGCCCAGCTAATTTTTTGTATTTTTAGTAGAGACGGGGTTTCACTGTGTTAGCCAGGATGGTCTTGATCTCCTGACCTCGTGATCCACCCATCTCGGCCTCCCAAAGTGCTGGGATTACAGGCGTGAGCCACCACGCCCGGCCATCGTGAGCATCTTTTTACATGTTCGAGCTATGTACATTTCCTCTTCTGTGAACCGTTTCTTACCCATTTTTCCATTGGATAGTTGGTCTTTCCATCTGCTTTGGAATCATCTTCAGGCAGACTTTCATCCCCAACATTTCACTGAAATTCCTTCTTTTGAGGTCACTATTGATGTCCACATTGCCCAATCCCCAGGCCAGCTCTTGGTTCTTATTGGATGTTCTCAGCAGCATGTGACACAGCTGGGTGGCTGCTGCTTCTCGAGTCTTTCTTTAACAGCTTCTGTCTCTTCCGTGGTTTCCTTCTTAACTTCCAGAAACTCTCAATGCCCTTGATGGATTTTCCTTATTTCTTCAACCTCTAAACATCTGAATTTCCAGGGCTCAGTTACCTTCTCTCTGAGTGTTGACCCGTAGACCCTTTATCCAGGTCTTCAGTAGCCTCCTGGCAGGTTTCCTGCAAAGGGTCTCGATGTGTAAGATCAAACGATCAACTATAAAGACGTGTTCTAGATGAAGAGGTTGTCTATGTGAGTGCTAACGGCTCTTGATTTAAACCAAACTGTGCTCTAAATTGCTGTGTTTCATTTATGTTTCTTTTCTTTCTTTTTTTTTGAGACAGGGTCTTACTCTGCTACACATGCTGGAATGCAGTGACGCAATCATAGCTCACTGCAGCCTCGACCTCCTGGGCTCAAGCAATCCTCCCACCTCAGCTTCCCGAGTGACTGGGAGCACAGGTATGTACCATTACCACCACGCCTGGCTAATTTTTAAATTTTCTGTAGAGATGGGGTCTATGTTGCCCAGGTTGGTCTCGAACATCTGGGCTCAAGTGATTTACCCACCTTGGCCTCCCAAAGTGCTGGGATTACAGGTGTGAGCTACCATACCTGGCCTTCGTTTATATTTTCATACAGAAGGGTAAATCATTTAAATAGTGGGGTGCAACTGTCCACAAAAGCAATAGGAGTAATTCATTGAGAAGCTTTCTGCCCCCATGAGGCACCAGTCTTCCTTCCTTCCTTCCCTCCCTTCCTTGCTGTCTTCCTTCCTTCTTTCCTTCCTTCCCTCCTTCCTTCCTCCCTTCCTGTCTTCCTTCCCTCCCTCCCTCCCTTCCTTCCTGTCTTCCTCCCTTCCTTCCCTCCTTCCCTCCCTCCCTTCCTTCCTGTCTTCCTTCCTTCCTTCCTGTCTTCCTTCCCTCCCTCCCTCCCTTCCTTCCTGTCTTCCTCCCTTCCTTCCCTCCTTCCTTCCCTCCCTCCCTTCCTCCCTCCCTCCCTCCCTTCCTCCCTTCCTGTCTTCCTTCCCTCCCTCCCTCCCTTCCTTCCTGTCTTCCTTCCCTCCCTCCCTCCCTCCCTTCCTTCCTTTTTTTTTGGGACGGCATCTTGCTCTGTCCCCAGGCTGGAGTGCAGCGGCACAATCTTGGCTCACTGCAACCTCCGCCTCCCAGGTTCCAGTGATTCTCCCACCTCCGCCTTCTGAGTAGCTGTGATTACAGGCACGCGCCACCATACCCAGCTAATTTTTTGTATTTTTTAGTCGAGACAAGTTTTCACCATGTTGGCCAGGCTGGTCTTGAACTCCTGACCTCAAGTGATCCACCCGCCTTGGCCTCCCCAAGTGCTGGGATTACAGGTGTGAGCCACCGCGCCCAGTGGGTGCACTAGTCTTATTGTCCCACCAAGCCCCTGGCTGTCAGCCCATCCTGCATAGGGCCAGGAGCACACACCCATCTCCCTCTGAGGCTGCAAGAAAGGGTTCGGGCTCCTGCTGGTTGAGGGCCTTCGACTGGGCTCTCCAGGTGCTGGGCTGGGCTGAGGAGCAAACCCACGTGCTGGTACAGGAGCAGGATGATGGAGGCCGCTCGTGACATCTCCATTATGCAAATACTATGCTGGTCTCAGGTTTTTTCGCTGAGTTTAGGTTGTAAAAGTGGAAGTGTTGGGTCAAAAGCGATCAGAGATCTTTTTAAAACTGACCATGTTACTGCCACCCCCAGAACTCTTCACTGGCTCCCCTAGAGCCTTTGGGGTAAACGTCAAGCTCCTTGGTCTGTCCTGTGGGGTTCTTTACCGTTGGCCTCTGCTGCTCTTTCCTGCCATTGCTCTCTGCCCCGACATGTGGGATTTCCGTCTCCTCCTTGCTGAACTGCTGTCAGCTTGCCCACTTGGTAAAGGTCTGTTGGTCTGTAGTGGGGGTAGCTTATGCCTTAGATCCCTTCATTCCACTTAAACTTCCCATCTCTTCGGTCCTACCTGGAGGCGCAGGGTGGGATGCTGAAGAGGACGGTGTCAGGCACCCCGCCCAGCCACAGGCAAGGGCCCCACTGTGGTTGAGGAGCCTCTCGTCAGGCCTTTCGAGGTTTTCCTATTGGATCCATCTCCTGGCCTAGGGCCCCAGGACCCCAACCTGAGTCCTGGGGAGTTAAAATGGTGCCTTTTCACTGAAGACTCTGTGTAGTGGGCCATGAGCCACATGGCCTGGATGCCTGGGGATGGAGGGTGGCGTGATAGGGAGTGAGGCCTGCTTTTCTCTATGGCTGGGTATGAGGCATGGCTTTACCCAGCAGGGCCTGCAGAGGGCCGGGGCAGGTGCAGGAGGGGAGCTGGGCTGTGGCAGATTTTGTCTTGAGCATGAATGAGACAGTGCAGGGTCC
Source organism: Homo sapiens (assembly GCF_000001405.40). Classification (NCBI taxonomy): domain Eukaryota; kingdom Metazoa; phylum Chordata; class Mammalia; order Primates; family Hominidae; genus Homo; species Homo sapiens. Next base: position 180,097,736 of record NC_000005.10, read on the forward strand.
TCCTGAAACACCAGGGGACACAGGGGGCTCAGGGACCTGCAAAAGAGGAGGAGGCAGGAGCAGAGGAAAGATGCATGTCACCTTGAGTGTGACTATGGGAAGCCCCGGTGGCCAGCAGAAGCCCCTCTGCCCCACACCATGGTTAGGAGCAGAGCTGTGGAGGTGACAGACCCTGCAGTCCCCGCCTCTCCATGCTGTTGTCCATGAGCAGTTGCTTAGCCTTTCTGAGCCTCTGTTCCCCACTTGCCAAGGGGGATGGTGACAGCACCTAGCTGGCGGGGTTTGTTAGGCTGTAGGTGAAGTGCTGGCCTGAGGCTCGGTGTCACGGGGAAGCGTTTGAGTTTCCAGGTGTGAAGTATGAGCTTCCAGCTGAGGCACATCCCAAATGGGGCTCTTGACTGAGATCCCAGCTGCTCACCTCCTTGACCCATGGGTGGGTGAGTCAGTGGTCGGGAGCTAGAAACTGGGGAGGGCATTGCTCAGAGGGTGCTGTGGGTACATGGGGGCACTTCCAAGGGGTGAGGGGGTTGCCCCTCCTGGAGAACCACTCAGGAGCCCTGCAGGGTTGGGAGATGCAGAGGCTTGAGGTCTGATGCCTGCCTGAGGGATGTGAAGGATGAGGGGCCATGTCAGCGTTTGTTTATCTGTTCCTGAGTTGTTAGGGAAGAGACTGTGACAGTCCCTGGGGCAGCCCTACTCACACCTCTGAGGTTATCTGGGGTTCTGCTCTGGGGGCTGCATGGACTTTGCGGAGGGCTGGATGCGGCTGGGTTCCCAGGCTAAGTTGCTGGCCACGATGGAGATGCCTGCTCTGGTCTAATGCTGGTGACCCCCACATTCCCATGTTGAAGCAGAATCCCCAGTGTGAGGGTATTAAGAGGTGGGGTCTTTTGGGGAGTGGGTAAGTCATGGGGGTGGTGCCCTTGTGAATGGGCTTAGCGCCCTCATAAGAGGGGCTGGAGGCAGCTGCATCCCCCTTCCGTGTGAGGGCACCCAGGCGGCACTACCTGTGAGGGGCCAGACACTGAATCAGCCGGTGCCGTCATCTTGGACTTCCCAGCCCTCAGAACTGTGAGCAACGCATTCCCGTTGTGTATGAATTACCAGCCTCTGGTATTGTTACAGCAGCCAGAACCAAGACACCATTTCCCAAGGAACTGCTTGGGGTGGGCAGCAGTGCCCAGTGATGCAGTGATGGGGGGCAGGGATTTCAGAGAACCGAGGGGTCCCCCATGTGAGAATGAATCAATATGGAACCCCAGCCAGGCCCAGGGCCTCTGAGGCAAGCCCCAGTCAGGGAAGAATCTTCCGGTCTGCAGGCTCCATGCCACCCCAGCTCCCTCCCTGGAGAAGAAGCCCAGGCGGTGAAGGAGAGCCCATGGCCAGGCCCTGCCTCATGCCTGCGGTTCGACTGAGTGGTGTTAGGGATTCGCAGTGGTGTTAGGGGTTCGCATCACCTGGTGCCACGCCGAGCTCACAGGCATTAGTCCTGGGCACCACCTGCGCTGCTGACACCTGCCCCACAGGCACAGGCCCTGCCCTGTGGAGCCCCTGGGGGCCGTCCCATCTGGCTGGCCATGACGCTGGAGCCAGGACTACAGGAGGACAAAGACGCCTCTGCAGGGAAGGGCCATGAGCCAAGGAGCAGACCGTGTGGCTGTGAGCAAGGCCTCCCTGGGCTCCGAGGCTGCACCTGGAGAAGCCACACCATGTCTGGGTGGGTCCTCTGAGGGAGCTCACGCCCTCTGGCTGCACCAGGGCCTGGCACACAGCAGCTGCTCAGAGGGGTGCAGAGCCAGGTTGAAGGCCCCCTGGAGGATCCTGAGGCACAAATGTGCTCAGCCTGAGCCCCCAGCCCTGCCTTCTCCACGGGGCTGGCTGTGGGCTGCCTCCTTCCCTGCTGCCCCAGAGCCTCCCCTGCTGGGGTGAGCCTCGGGGCACCCAGCTTCACCTGGCCATCCTCCTGATACCCATCCTGCGCTGGGCCACTGGGGGCTGCTGCCAGGAACGGCTTCTGGGAGATGGGCCCTGCACCTGAGGCTGCAGCTCTGACTGGATCGACAAGGTGGGGAACAGCATGTCAGGCAGTGGGAACAGCATACTGGTGTGGCCAGGAGGCAGGGACGATCCCCGCTGACCTCTGGAGGGGGCTTTTCTCATGTTGCCCAAGGGGTGCCAGGGACTGAGGGTGCCAGGTAGGGATGAGGGTGAGACGATGGCTCTAACCAGCTCCTGGAACCCCCCAAACTCCTGGGGTTTGGCCCCCAGGGCTCTGCCCAGGCCCTGCGGGAGCCCTGCCCCCACCTCTCCACACTGCTTGCCGTCCCTGGGGTCTCAGATGGAAGAGGTGGGCTGGGGCGGTGCAGGGCAGATTCTGCTTGGCCCCGATGTGCAGGCCCCATGCCTCTGCCGGGCCCTTCTGGGGCCTTGCTGTGGTCCTGGCTCACCAGGCAGAATCCCTGAGTTGGCTGAGGCACCGGCTGCTGGTGGCCCTGTCTCTGCCCGTTCCCCAGATAGGACCCAAGTCCAGGACAGCCAAGTCTGATACTGAGTGGGACTCCACCGCTGAGGGGCCTGACATGGCCTAGAGCAGGCCAGGGGTGGGTCAGTGCACCCCAGCGCTCCCTCCTCAACCCATCCGCCACCCAGCAGGCCCTGACCAGCAAAGGGGGTACAAATTGCACTCCCTGACTTCCTGGCTAGATGACCTTGTCACGTGTCAGGTGGGGTCTCGGCTGCTCCCCGGCCCACTGCTTGCTGGCTCAGTTTTTGAGGGGCTGGAAACAGACAGGGTGGGGCTGTGGGAGGGGCCTGCTGGTGGGCCAAGGGGGTTTTGTTGGCTTCCTCATGCCCTGCTCTAGACAAGGGGCACCAGGCAAGGCTGTGGGTATCCCTCACCAAAGGTTAACTGAGCATCCCCCACGCACCAGGCTCTGTAAGCACGACACGGGGTCTCTGGATGGGAAACAGTTACCCAGTCCCATGCCTGAACTGTGGCTACAGCAGTCCCCGGGCTGAGTTGAAAACCTGCCATGGGGTGGACGTGGGGTGGACATGGATAGGCGTACGGGTGTGTTTATAGTGACTAGAGTTTACAAGGGGGCTGGGTGGCGGGACTGCCGTGTACACACTGTAACTCCATGTGTCCAGTTTGTCCTGTTGACGCGTTCCACAGCTGTCACCGGAAAGCTATCTCCTGGGGCCAGCAGCATCCAGGAAGGGGGTACCTGGGGCTGCAGAGACAAGCTCGTCGGCAGGGCAGGGTGAGGGACCATGGGTGGAATGGCAGTGGCTGCCAGTGGGCTCGGGGCTGGCGCAGGCATCTCACGTCGCACCGTGATGCCTGCTGTGGCTCCAGAAGTTCCCAAGCCACGTGGTGACAGACTGTGGGTGGTGGCCAAAGTGGCACATGTCACCAAGCAAGGTCTCGAGCTTGCAGTGGTCCCACCCTCTGGGGCAGTGTTGTGTCCTTGCCGAGGATGGACAGACTGACCAGGCCCCACGGTCCTGAAGGCAGGATGTCCCCAAGGCATGTGCCGCCCGCACGTCTGGAGGCCCTGGGTCCTGCCAGGGCCAAAGTCCCATAAAAGGTCTCCTGTGCCCGTATGGCCACTGTGGGGGGGGGGGGGGCGGGCAGCAGGCCACAGGGTCGGCATTTGCAAAATAGTGAGGCACTCCCTGGCCTCTGCCCACTGGGCCACTGAGGCAGGGCTGTGGACGGCTTCTGCGGGCTCCAGCTCTTCCTCGTCCCTCAGCTCAGCGCTTTCATGTCTTCCCCAAAATAGAAGATCTGCAGATTTAAGCATGTCGGGAGCGGTGAGAGCCTGGAGCTCCCCACCCCAGTTAGACTGCTCTCCAGCACAGCCACTTTCTCAGTGCGCTGAGGAGAGCCAGCCTCCTGCCCCAGAGGGGTGTTCTGCAAATCCCTGGGGCTCAGCCCTCGAAGTCCATTGCTATGGATCATTTCCGACCGCCACTTGGACGTGTTAACACGCCGAGCAAGAAGGAGGTGGGGTGTGTGTCCCACTGTCTGGCATACAAATATAGACTGGGAGTCCCTGTCCCTGGGACATGCATCTTGACTGCACACAGAGGCAGCCACCAGCCGTGGGGGAGTCACAGGCTCAGCCTCCTCTCCTCACCCCTATGACTGTGGCTTGATCCCCACTGTGGGCTGCTGAGGCTCCCAGGAGGCTGGTGAGCCGGGTATCTCTGAAGCCCCTCGGCCCTGTCCTGGTCCCAAGCAGTCCCCGGGTCCCACCTCGGCGCGAAGACTCACCTTAGAGCTTTCCATCCCAAGCAGCCCCCAGGCCCCACCTTGGCAGGAAGACTCACCTTAGAGCTTTCCATCTTTCTTTTTCTGTTTGGTTCTCTGGGCTCTCACTTTCGTAAGAAGCCAAATAAAGACCTAGACAGAAAATGAAGTGAAATTTCACAATTATGGTTGATGATAATAACCTGTTCTACACCTGCTATATCTGCGTGGGTCTCTTTCTGGGTTCTCTATTCTGTCCCATTGATCCATGTGTCCATCCCTCCCCTAATACTGTGCTGTCTTAACGACAGTAGTTCTATAACATTTGCGTGAGGGCTTTTGCTTTTGTGTGAAACTCACTTCAAATGATGTATAAATACATGAGTCTTTATTTCTCTGGAATAACTAACTGCCCAAGAATGCAATGGCTGGGCCATATCATAGTGGCATATTTGGAATAAGAAACTCTTTATCTAGCCCTATATTCTGAGGGTTATCTCTTGCTTTTCCCTGCTAAAAGCTGTATAGGTTTACATTTTACATTTTAGTCTGTGATCCATGCTGAGCTAATTATTTGTATAAGGTGTGAGGCTTGGGCTGGGGTTCATGTTTTGGTCTGTGGATGTCCGGATGCTCCGGCACTGTTTGTTGGAGGGCTAGCTTTCCTCCATTGGGTTTTGTTTTGTTTTGTTTTGTTTTTGTCAAAAATCACCTGGTATATTTGCGTGGGTCTCTTTCTGGGTTCTCTATTCTGTCCCATTGATTCATGCGTCCATCCCTCCCCTAATACTGTGCTGTCTTAACGACCATAGCGCTATCATATCAGCCTTAACATCAAGCAGACTCATTCCTCCCACGAATCCTTTTCAAGATTGTTTTAGCAATTCTAGTTCCTTTGACTTCCGATACAAATTTTAGGAGAATCTCGTCTCTATCTTACAAAGAGTCTTGCTGGGATTTGGGTAGGAATTGCATTAAACCTGTACTTAAATTCTGGGAGGAGAATTAATACCTTTGCTATGCAGTCTTTGCGTTCGAGAACATCCTATGTCTCCATTTATCTACATCTTTCTTGATTTCTTTCATCAGCATTAACTTTTTTTTGAGACAGAAGTCTCGCTCTGTCGCCCAGGCTGGAGTGCAGTGGCGCGATCTCGGCTCACTGCAAGCTCTGCCTCCCGGGTTCACACCATTCTCCTGCCTCACCCTCCCGAGTGGCTGGGACTACAGGTACCCACCACCACGCCCGGCTAATGTTTTGTATTTTTAGTAGAGATGGGGTTTCACCGTGTTAGCCAGGATGGTCTCGATCTCCTGACCTTGTGATCCGCCCGCCTCGGCCTCCCAGAGTGCTGAGATTACAGGCGTGAGCCACCGCACCCGGCACATCAGCATTAACTTTTAGCGTACACGTCCTGTGCGTGTTCTGTTCCATTTCCACCTACATATTTCATGTGAGTGACTGTAAATGGTATTATCATTTTAGTTTCAGCGTGCACATGTTTATTGCTCATACGTAGAAACATGGTTGATTTTTGCATGTGTGTCTTGTATCCTGCAACCTTGCTGAACTCCCTTATTAGTTCTAGGGGTTTTTGTAGATTCTTTGGGATTTTTTTTCCTCATCATCTGCAAATAGGGACAGTGTTAATTTTTCTTTCTGATTTGTGTGTTACTTCCTGTTCTTGCCTTATCGCACTAACTAGTTCTTCCATTACTATGATGACTAAGAGTGGGGAAGAGTGAACATCCTTTCATTGTTATTGGTCTTACGAGGAAAGCATTAAATCTTCTGCTGTTAAATATAATGTTTGCAGAAGCGTTTCTGTGGATGCAACTTGTCATGCTGATAAATTCCCTTCTATTACTAGTTTCTGAGAGTTTTTACCATAAATGCGTGTAGAAATTTGTCAAATGCCTTTTCTGCATTGATTAATATAATCATGTGTCTTTTCTTCTTTAGCTGTTTAGTATAGTGAATCACACTGATTGAATTTCAAATATTGAACAGCTTTGCATCCTTGGAATGAACCCACTTAGTCATGACGTATAATTATTTTTACATATTGCTGAACTCTATTTGCTTATTTTGTTAAGGATTCTTGTGTCTATATTCATGAGGGATATTGGCCTGTATTTTCTTTTTTTGGTACTGTCTTTGGTTTTAGTATCAGGGTAATACTGGTGCCAGGGTTTGAATGTTTGTGCCCTGAAAAATTCATGTTGAAACATAATCCCGAATGCAACAGTGTTAACTAACAGGTGGGGTCTGGAGGAGGCGATTAGGCCATGAGGTTCCACCCTCATGGATGGGATTAGTGCCCTTATGAAAGGGCTGGAGGGAGCCAGTCTGGCCCCTTTTTGCCCATCTGCCAAATGAGGACACAGCATTTGCCCCTTCTGCCATGCGAGGACACAGCAAGAAGGCTCCACCTTAGAAGCAGAGAGCAGCCCTCACCAGACACAGAATCTGCCTTGATCTTGGATTTCTGGCCTCTGAAACTGTAGATATATATATATAAACTCAGTGGTAAGAAAATGTCTGTTGTTTATGAATTACCCAGTCTAAGGTATTTTGTTACGGCAGCTCAAACTGACTAAGACAACTGGCTTCATCAGGAGGCTCCCTCCTCTGCCACTTTCTGGAAGAGATTGTGGAGAATTGGTGTTAATTCTTTAAGCATTTGGTAGAAGTCTCCAGTGTAACCATTTGAGCCTGTAGACTTCATTTTTGGGAGTTTTAAAATTATAAATTCAATTTATTTAATAGTCACAGGGCTATTCAAATTATCTATTTTATGTCAAGTTGTGGTAATTTGTGCTTTTTAAGGAATTAGTTCATTTCATTTAAATTGTTAAATTCGTGTGTGTGGAGTTGTTTGTCGTATTCCCTTATTATCTTTTCAATGTCTGTAGTCGTTAGTGATATCCTGTTTTACTCCTGGTACAGTAGTCCCCTATTATCTGTGGGGGATACATTCTAAGTCCCCTGGTGGCTGCCTGAAACTGCAGATAGTACGGAATCCTGTATATACTTGTCTTGGATCCCTTTTCCATCTTAACTAAGCACTCATCAGGCACTTCTGCAGTTTGAGATGCAACAGCAAAACTAGCAAGAATTTATTTTTCTTTCTTCAGAATTTCATGGATAAGTTTGTTCTTACTGTAGATCTTAGTAATCTCAGCATACAATTTTTTCCCTTGAGAACTTTCACCTCATCATTTAACGGAAGCACTTTACAGCTTCCCTTTGCCATATCTGAACTGCCTGCATCACTGCTCAGGTACTTTGCCAGGCGCGGTGGCTCACGCCTGTCATCCCAGCACTTTGGGAGGCGGAGGTGGGCAGATCACGAGGTCAGGAGATGGAGACCATCCTGGCTAACACGGTGAAACCCCGTCTCTACTAAAAATACAAAAAATTAGCCAAGTGTGGTGGCGGGCGCCTGTAGTCCCAGCTACTCGGGAGGCTGAGGCAGGAGAATGGTGTGAACCCGGGAGGCGGAGGTTGCAGTGAGCCGCGACTGCGCCACTGCACTCCATCCTGGGTGACAGAGCAAGACTCTGTCTCAAAAAAAAAAAAAGAAGTAAAATAGGCTGGGCGCGGTGGCTCACACCTGTAATCCTAGCACTTTGGGAGGCTGAGGCTGGTGGATCACTTGAGGTCAGGAGTTCGAGACCAGCCTGACCAACATGGTGAAACCCCGTCTCTACTAAAAATACAAAAATTAGCTGGGCGTGGTGGCTCACGCCTGTAATCCCAGTGACTTGGGTGGCTGAGGGAGGAGAATCGCTTGAACCTGGGAGGCAGAGGCTGCAGTGAGCCGAGATCGTGCCACTGCACTCCAGCCTGGGTGACAGAGCGAGACTCTGTCTCAAAAAAAAAAAGAAGTAAAATGAGGGTTACCTGGACACAAGCACAGTGACACTGACAGTTGATCTGATAGCTGAGGTGGCCACTAAGTGACTGATAGGCAGCATAAACACAGCACAAATGCCGGGCAAAGGGATGAATCATGTCCCAGGAGGAACCCAGTGGGATGACGTGTGATTTCATCACACTACTCAGAATGGTGCACAATTCAAAACTTATGAATTATTTCTGGAATTTTCCATTTAGTATGTTCAGACCACGGTTGACTGAGGGTAACTACAGATAAGGGGGGACTACTGTATCAGTAATTTGTGTCTTTTCCTTTTCTTTGTCAAGAGGTTCTTTGCTAGATGGCAGCAATTTTATTGTTCTTTTCAAAGAACCAGCCCTTTGATTAACTTTATTGTTTTTCTGCTTACGGGTTCATTGATTTCTGCTCTTATTTCCATCCTGCTGCTGGCTTTGAGTTTATTTTGCTCCTCTTTTTCTAGATTCTTGATGTAGGAACTTAGATTATTGATTTGACACTTCCCCTTTTTTCTAATGTATGCATTTGGTGCTATAAGATTTCCTCTGAGTCCTGCTTTAGCTGTCCTACAAATTTGATTGTATTTTCAGTCAGTTCAATTATTTTTTAAATTTTCCATGAGCCTCTTTGACCCATGGATTATTTACAAGTGTGTCATTTAATTTCTAAATGTTTCAAGAGTTTTCTGTTGTCTGATGCTACCGATTATAATTTAATCCCACTGTGGTTGAAGAACATAGTGTGTTATGATTTCAGTTACTTTCAATTTGTTTCAGCTTGTTTTATGGCTCAGGAGATGGTATATTTTGGTCTATATTCTGGGGGCAATTTTAAAAAATGTGTGTTCTACTGCACTTGTATGGAGTGTTCTGTAAATGTTGATTAGATTCCTGTTGTTTGATGATATTGTTGAGTTCTTTGTCTTTGCTGATTTTCTGTCTAGTTGTTCTATCAATTGTTCAGAGAAGGGTGTTGACATCTTCAATTGTAATTGTAGATTAGTTATTTCTCCTTTCAGTTTGATCAGCTTTTGCTTAATGAATTTTGTAGCTCTGATGTTTGGTGGATACATAGTTAGGATTGCTATATCTTGGGGGACTGACCCTATTATTACTGTATAATGTCCTTCTTTGTTTCTGGTAATTTTCTTTCTCCTAAAGTGTGCTTTATCTGAAATTAATATTGCTACTCTTGCTTTCCTCTAATTAATATTAGCATGCTATATCTTTTCTTCTTTTTTTACTTATCAAAATGTCTCTATCATTATAGTGAAGTGAGTTTCTTGTAGATAGCCTATAGTTGGATCATTTTAAAAAATCGACTTTGTCAATTTCTTTTACTTGGTGTATTTAGACCATTTACATTTAATGTAATTATTAGTATGTTAGGACTTAAGTCTGCCTTTTTGTCTATTTTTTTGTTTTCTTTTTGTTCTGTGTTTTGTTCTCTGTTTTATTTTTCTTGTCTTCCTGTGGTTTACCTGAACAGCTTTTAGAATTCTATTTTGATTTATCTATAGTTAATTCCTGAAGGATGTTTTCACCGTATATAGGATTCTGGCTTGACAGTTCTTTTGGCAATTGAAAAATGTGCCACTGTCTTCTGGCCTCTTGGTTTCTGATGAGAAATTTGACATGATTCAGAGTGTTTTCCCCCTATGGGTAAAGTGTCATTTCTCTCTCAGTGTTTTTAATATTTAAAAAAAAATTTATTTTTTAATTATTTTTTTTCTTTGAGACAGAGTCTTGCTCTGTCACCCAGGCTGGAGTGCAGTGGCACAATCTTGGCTCACTGCAATCTTTGCCTTCCAGGTTAAAGCAATTCTTGTGCCTCAGCCACCCAAGTAGCTGGGATTATAGGCATGTGCCACCACAGCTGGCTAAATTTTGTATTTGTAGTAGAGACGAGGTTTCGCCATGTTGGTCAGGCTGGTTGGTCAGGCTGGTCTCGAATTCCTGGCCTCAACCAAACCACCTGCCTCAGCCTCCCAAAGTGCTGAGATTACAGGTATGAGCCACTGCACTTGGCTTCAAGATTTGTTTCTTTTCCTTCAGTTTTCAGAAGTTTGACTACAATGGGTCTTGGTAGGGGTTTCTTTAGTTTTTCCTTTTGGGGATCATTCAGCTTCTTGAATCTGTAGGTTTATGTTTTTTCCAACTCTGGGAACTTTCTAGCCATTATTTCTTTGAGTACTTTTTCAGTCCTGCCCTCTTTTTCCTCTCCTCCACAGACTGTGATGACATGAGTGTGGGATCTTTGGTTATAATCCCACAGGTCCCTGAAAATATGTTTCAGTCTATTTTCTTTCTTTCTTTTTTTTTTTTTTTGAGACAGAGTCTCACTCCATGGCCTAGGCTGGAGTGCAGTGGTGCGATCTCGGCTCACTGTAACCTCCACCTCTTTGGTTCAAGTGATTGTCTTCCCTCAGCCTCCCAAGTAGTTGGGACTACAGGTGCCCGACACCACGCTTGGCTAATTTTTTGTATTTTTAGTAGAGATGGGGTTTCACCGTGTTAGCCAGGATGGTCTCGATCTCCTGACCTCATGATCTGCCTGCCTCAGCCTCCCAAAGTGCTGGGATTACAAGCACGAGCCACCGCGCCCAGCCGTTTCAGTCTATTTTCTCCCTGTTGTTCAGATTGTATAATTTCTATTGTTCCATCTTCCAGTTCATAGATTTTTTTCCTCTGCCTTCTTTATTCTGCTGTTAAGCCCATTCACTCAGTTTTCCATCTCAGTTATTGTATTTTTCAGTTCTAAAACTCCCATTGGCTCTTCCTTATTATATCTTCTGTTTCTTTGCTGAGACTTTCTATATTTTCATTTGCTTCAAGGAGATTCAAGTCTGACTAATTGCCAGGTGGGCCCTGCCAGGGAAGCCTGGAGCTGAGGTCAGGGCCAGGTTTTTGTCAGAGGCTGTAAGTGACCCAGCTGGGGCTCAGTACATCCTAGGTCTCTTACCTTACTTCCCTCCACTTTTTTGGGGTTGTGGGAGGGACAGAAGGAAGAGACAGTAAAAATGGAAGATGCCCCTCTCTAACGGGGCTCCAGGAGGGCCACAGTTTTGTCTGTGTTAACTGCTAGATTGTTGCCTGGCACACAGCAGTCTCTGAAGACATATGGTTGACTAAAGGAGTAAATAAAATGCCCCCCTTTTCTCCCTCTCTGCCCTGAGACTCCTCTATGCCTCTCCTCATGTGTCTTTAACTCATCTTAATGCCCAAGTTCCATGAAGAGGTCACTGGCTAATGACAACAATCATCATAATAATTAGGGTAGTAGGGCCAGGCGTGGTGGCTCACGCCTGTAATCCCAGCACTTTGGGAGGCTGAGGCGGGTGGATCATGAGGTCAGGAGATTGAGACCATCCTGGCTAACATGGTGAAACCCCGTCTCTACTAAAAATACAAAAAAAATTAGCCGGGCGTGGTGGTGGGTGCCTGTAGTCCCAGCTACTCGGGAGGCTGAGGCAGGAGAATGTCGTGAACCCGGGAGGCGGAGCTTGCAGTGAGCCGAGATTGCGCCACTGCACTCCAGCCTGGGTGACAGAGCGAGACTCCGTCTCAAAAAAAAATAATAATAATAATTAGGTTGAATAATGGTCCCAGAGGTATCCAGGTTCTAATCCCAGGACCTTTGAATGTTACCTTCTATGGCAAAAAGGAACCTTACAGACATGATTAAATGAAGGATCTGGAGATGTGGAGAATATCTTGGATTATATGTGGGGGCCCTAAATGCAATCACAGGTGTCCTTATAAGAGGACGGCAAAGGGAGATTTGACTAAGGTGGAGAGAAGATGATGTGATGATGGAAGGAGAGATTGGAGTGATGCACTTGGAAGATGAAGGAAGGGGCCACAGCCAAGGAATACAGGTGGCCATTAGAAGTTGAAAAGGCCAGGAAATAGATTCTCCTCTCAGGGCCTCCAGAAGAAACCAGCCCTGCTGACAGCTTGATTTTAGCCCAGAGAAACTCATTTCGGCCCTCTGGTCTCCAGAAGTGTATAAGGAAACTCATTTCAGCCCTCTGCTCTCCAGAAGTGTATAAGGAAACTCATTTCAGCCCTCTGCTCTCCAGAAGTGTGTAAGGATAAATCTGTGTTGTTTTGAGCCACCAAGCTTGTGGTGATTTGTGACAGCACCAACAGGAAACTCACGCACTAGTGTGGATTGAGGGTAATTGTGTGGACTTCGCCTGGGCAGCTCCAGGCATTCTCCCCGGGGCCCTGGGGAGCAGGTTCTCACATCACCCCGCTTTCCAGATACTGCAGGAGAGGCTTAGAGACGATGAGTCCTGCTCATCGCACAGCTCGCTGGGGTGGGAGCGGCTCAGACAGGTTTATTCATCAGCTGCTCGGCTTCTTAGTGGCATTGCAGGGAGGTGGCTACAGATAGGGGTGAAAGCCCCTCCAAAAAGTTCCCAGCTTCAAAATATAAACAATAAAATGGCAAAGTTGAAAGTATTCAAAAGCAAAATCATTAAAAGATCCTTCTCCCTTTTTTTTTTTTTTTTTGGAGAAAGTAAAAGTGCCCACTGAGCCTAAGTGTGGGTCCCTCTGTGACATGCTTGCTGTGATGAGAAGCCAGGTCTTCTGCGTCCTGAGCAGGCCCTCTCAGGGTGATGTGGGGCCGCGGGGCCATTCCACCCCAGCTCAAGCCCACAGGGCCACTTGCTTCTCTACCACTTCTGCTTCCTGAAAGCAGAGGGCCCCGGGACCTGCCCCCTTAGCACGCTTGCAAGCAAACCTACATCTGACAAATGATCATATGGAAATGCTTATTTAGTGGAGAGGACAGAAATGAATGGCACTGCAGCAGAGGCCTCACCTCGTGCCTGTGTCTGTTACACCTGCACACACGTACACGCCTACACAGTCAGTGCTGTGCTTGGCACTCCCCACGTAAGCTCTGGGAAGGTGATTTTTTTTTTCTTTTTTTGAGACGAAGTCTTGCTCTGTCACCCAGGATGGAGTGCAGTGGTGCGATCTCGGCTCACTGCAACCTCTGCCTCCCGGGTTCAAGTGATTCTGCTGCCTCAGCCTCCTGAGTAGCTGGGATTACAGGTAGGCACTACAACGCCCGGCTAATTTTTGTACTTTTAGTAGAGACGGGGTTTCAACATGTTGGTTAGGCTGGTCTCAAACTCTTGATCTTCTGATCTGCCTGCCTCTGCCTCCCAAAGTGCCGGGATTATAGGCGTGAGTCACTGTGCCTGGCGAGGGTGATTCTTATCATCATCCCCACTTTACTGAGGAAAGTGAGCCAGACAGGTAGATGGTTCTGATTTAGAATTCTAAAGGTGTCCAAACTGTGTCCGGGGAGGAGCCTGGCCCCGGGGGTCCTTGAGGCCCCAGCTTGGACCTCCTCAGGCCCATCCTGTACTCCTGGAGTGGCAATGGGCCAGCCAGGGGGATGGAGCCCTCCTTGTTCCCTCCCGGAGCCAGCCCAGGTGGGCAGGGTGCATCCCTAACCTACTCAGAGCAGGGGTCCTGAATGGTGACTGAGAGGCTACCCCAGAGTTCCGTGGCCCAGTAGGCAGGAGGGCTGCAGGGCTACCTTACCATCCTCACTGAAGATGGGGGCGGTGTACAGGTAGTGGGTGATGCTGGCGTCTTGCTCGAAGGGACACTCCACTTGTTTCCAGGTGATGAACTCCCCCACCTGCTTGGCCAGCTCCAGGAATTTCTGCCAGGGTCACAGAGACACAGAATGGAGGCACTCCAGTGCCTGGAGGTCCCCATGAGGGGGAGGGGCTGGTCCTGGCAGAGACCCTCTCAACACCCAGTGGCTTTAGGGCTCTGAGGAGGAGCAGGGGGCGATAAATGAGGGCGAGAGCAGTCCTGGCCTGCAGCCTGTGTGGAGCAAGAGTGGGCCTGGTTTTATGTCATTGTATTTACTTTGTTGTTATCCTCTATGTATGGCAAGTGATACATGTTTGTTGATTTATGTAATTATGCAAATATATTTAAATAGGTATATTTAAGTAAGACTTAAGTAATTCATTTAAGTGTGATTTTATTTAAGTAAAATGTAAACACATGTATTTAATTTTTAAAAAAGGTGCCAACTTTAAATAAAGAGCAGTGCACAGTTGTGAATGGCAGGGACCCCCGCTCCACGACACCCTTTGATCTGCCCTGGAAGCCAGGTCCAGTCCCTTCTGCTTGCTCCCCAAAGCTGGGACCACACAAGCACCTTGTAGTCTTACCTGTCCCTGGCCTCAGCTCTGAGGATCAATTCAGGAAGGGCTAAGGCAGGGGGTTCCCACGCCTGGCTCTGGGCTGGTGTCACCTGCGGAGGAGGATCCCAGTTCCCTGGGCCCCTGCAGTGTCTTGCCTAAGTCCCATCTTGTCCACATCACCTCCAGCCTGGGCTAACCTAACAAACAGGTGAGGCAGCCTGGGACCCTCTAACAAGGCCTGTGGGTAGCATGTGACGGTCTGCTGGGGTGTCTGTGAGGAGGGCAGCTCCAGGCCCAAGCGTCTGGCCATGTGCTGTGGTTCCCAGCTGCAGGGGACACTCACAGCCCACGGAGGCCATGCTGCACCTCTACCCCCAGCCCCTCTCTGGGCTATAGATGAAGACCCATCTTACACAGGGAGAGACTGAGGCTCAGACAGAGCAGTGACTGGTGACTGGCCCAGGACTTACGGCTCCTTGGAGTTGGAAGCTGGGTGGGGCCTCGCACCCACTGTGTCACCCACTGCTAAGGCCAACGCTAGGGTGGGGCTGGCTCTCAGTGGGAGAAGAGCCCCCTCCTTCCTACAGACTCGGGGTCCAGCTGCTGCATGGCATGCTCTGTCTGACTCAGTGTCTGCCTAGCTCACAGCTACGCCGAGACACGTGTGCTGGGTGGGCCCTTTTGGAGGTCAGGATACGGAGCGGGTCAGCCTGGCCTTTCTTCTCAGGAGCTCAGGGACTCGGGTGCAGTGACTGAGGATGGATGGAGGGACCAAGGATGGACGGAGGGACCGAGGATGGACGGAGGGACCGGGGATGGACGGAGGGACCGTGGATGGACAGAGGGATCCGGGATGGACGGAGGGACCGGGGATGGACGGAGGGACCGGGGATGGACGGAGGGACCGGGGATGGACGGAGGGATCCGGGCTGGACGGAGGGACCGGGGATGGACGGAGGGACCGGGGATGGACGGAGGGATCCGGGCTGGACGGAGGGACCGGGGATGGACAGAGGGACTGGGGATGGACGGAGGGACCGGGGATGGACGGAGGGATCGAGGATGGATGGAGGGATCTGGGCTGGACGGAGGGACCGGGGATGGACGGAGGGATCCAGGATGGACAGAGGGACCGGGGATGGACGGAGGGACAGGGGATGGACGGAGGGACCGAGGATGGACGGAGGGACCGAGGATGGACGGAGGGATCCAGGATGGACGGAGGGACCGGGGATGGACGGAGGGACCGGGGATGGACGGAGGGACCGGGGATGGACTGAGGGATCCGGGATGGACGGAGGGACCGGGGATGGACGGAGGGACCGGGGATGGACGGAGGGATCGGGGATGGATGGAGGGATCCGGGATGGACGGAGGGACCGGGGATGGACGGAGTGACCGGGGATGGACGGAGGGACCGGGGATGGACGGAGGGATCGGGGATGGACGGAGGGACCGGGGATGGACGGAGGGATCCGGGATGGACGGAGGGACCGGGGATGGACGGAGGGATCGGGGATGGACGGAGGGATCGGGGATGGACGGAGGGATCCGGGGATGGACGGAGTGACCGGGGATGGACGGAGGGACCGGGGATGGATGGAGGGATCGGGGATGGACGGAGGGATCGGGGATGGATGGAGGGATCCGGGCTGGACGGAGGGACCGGGGATGGACGGAGGGACCGGGGATGGACGGAGGGATTGGGGATGGATGGAGGGACCGAGGATGGATGGAGGGACCGAGGATGGATGGAGGGACCGAGGATGGATGGAGGGATCGAGGATAGATGGAGGGATCGAGGATGGATGG
The DNA here is from genome assembly GCF_000001405.40 of Homo sapiens. NCBI lineage: Eukaryota > Metazoa > Chordata > Mammalia > Primates > Hominidae > Homo > Homo sapiens. Next base: position 180,113,889 of record NC_000005.10, read on the forward strand.
AGGGATGCCCAGCCTGCTGTGCTTTGGGAGGCCTGACAGGTGGGCTCTCTCTGCCTGGCAGGTCCAGGGGGGCTTCCTGGAGGAGGAGACACTTGAGCTGAGAGTGGTGAGTGTCTACAGAGGGAGCAGAATTCTTTCTTTTCTGTTCACTCTGGCCTCGGCCTGATAGCGTCCTCCTGCTACTCAAGGCTCCGCCTTTGGGCTGGTCCTGACCCCCAGGGCACAGCCCCTGTCACAGCACCTTGCTGGTTGTCACTGTGGGCCCACGGAGCTGCCTTTCTCGCCAGCCTGGTGCTCCTCAAGGGCTCAGATGGACCCTGCTTCACCTGTGCTGGCCGTGCGGCGCAGCCTGGATGGACATGACCCTGAGCCTCAGCATCTCCACTGCAGTGGATGTCAGGGTGGGAGGACCCTGATAACCTTGCCAAGGTCGGCTGTGAACTGCTCATTCTGCCCCAGGGTCCCCCATGAGGCTGGGTGTCCAAGGGCCAGTGGTCCTGCCCTGGGAACTTTTCCCGGCCTGTCTACCTCAGTGGCGGTCCACACGGAGGTCCTACCTCAAAGTTGACGTGTCCATTGGGAAGGCGGTTGGCGCAGCCCTCATTCAGGAAGTAGATGTCTTTGATGAGCAGGCTGAAGAAAGGAATGACAATCTGGAAGAAAGAGGGGGCAGGTCGGCCCCAGCCGGCCCTCCACACAGCGGGCTCCAGGACGGGGGGCAGCCTTGCCAGCAGATAGCTGCCCCAGGGACCTCAGACCCGACCCCAGGGTGCAGAGGGCAGGGGAGACTTCCTGGGCTAGCCGGGGCCTTGGGACTTCACGGGTTACGAGGTGAATTCCTGTGCACCATGGAGGGCAATAAGGACCCCAAAGAAAGGAGCAGGCGCGCATCACCCTGCAGAGCGCCGTGGTGCCACCGCCCGTCCTGGGGCTGGGTAAGAGATGCACAGTCACGATGACCCTTGAATATTCCTTCCACTGCCTTCTGGGAGGGGCTGGTAGGTCTCCACTACCCCCATCCCCATCCAAAGGTCCACAGGCTTGTGGGCACCGGGAGGTGCAGTCCCTGCTGAACACACTGTTGAAGACACATGGAATAGATGTGCATCAACTATTCTGAAATTTGGTGGCCTCCTTTTTTTTTTGAGAGGAGTCTCACTCTGTCACCCAGGCTGGAGTGCAATGGCGTGATCTCAGCTCACTGCAAGCTCCGCCTCCCAGGTTCAAGTGATTCTCCTGCTTCAGCCTCCCGAGTAGCTGGGATTACAGGCACCTGCTGCCACGCCCGGCTAGTTTTTGTATTTTTAGTAGAGACGGGGGTTTCACCATGTTGGCCAGGCTGGTATTGAACTCCTGACCTTGTGATCTGCTCGCCTCGGCCTCCCAAGGTGGCCTCCTTTTTAAAAAAAAAAAAAAAAATTTAACAATTTGTCCCCCTCTGTCTTTCTTGATGCTAAGATCTGATCCCGATGCACTTACTGTTAGACCAAAAGCAATTCTTGCTCCACTGCCTGAAGGAAAAGAAAGGCTCACGGACCCCGCCTGTGAAGGGCTGCGGGCTGCGTGCAGGCCCCCCCAGACTCTTCACTCCTGACCTCATTGTAGTGGGAGACACAGTTGTAGGAGTAACCTACAAAATGAGGAGGCCTCATCTGGCAAATCTTTGCTAATCCCAACTCCCCACTGCCGGCTGGGTTTAGTCTCCATCTGTGCTCCCACAGAGCCCGCTACTTATGCCTTTATCAAGCCTGCGTGCCTCACTGCTGGGCTATATACAGGGTTACTTTCCATCTTTACATGGTCCTGTGAAGCAGGGCTCTCATGACCCCATTTATACATGAGGAAGCTGAGGCCCAGAGAGGTTAAATACCTTGCATAAGCTCACACAGCAGTGAGCAGCGGAAGCAGGGCTGAGTCCCAGGTGGCTCTGCCCTAGTGCCCCGTCCTACCTCTTCCTCACTGTGCCGGGATCAGTGGTGGGGGGGGATTGTGGGGGTGGTCTGTGTCTGTGCCCTCCCTCAGTGGTGCTGAGTCCCCAGTCCTAGTGCAGGTTCTGGACAGCCGAACTGTGTTGGAACAGGGAGACGCACCAAGACAGGGAGGGGGTTTAAGGAATGTGGGACTCCGCACACAGAGGAGGCTCCTCTGGGGCCTGGTCTGGGCTTCCTGGAGGCAGTGGCATTGAGCTGGTCCTCAAGAGGTGGCGCGTCCCATACGTGAGCACTTCTCACCCCTTCCGCCATGGCCACGCCACTCAAGGCCACCCCCCATGTCTGACCTGGTCTCCCTGCCCTCGCAGCAGCCAAACAGGCCTTTGTATCTGCAAATCCACTGCCCTTGCTTCTGACATGAGAAGTTTAATTACAGCCCCGGTCAGCTTGGAGGTCACCCGGATAAGTGGGCCCTGTGACACAGACTGGGAGAGGGGCAGTTGCCGCCCACAGACAGGAAGGAAGCGTAAAGTGCTACGACCACCGAGATCTCCCAGCCCCATCAACTCAGCTGGGGCACCAGGAAGCTGTGAGCACCACTCTAAGTATCCCTTTCTCCTTCCTCCTTCCTTCCCTCCCTCTGCCCCTCCACCCCTCTCCATCCATAAAGCAGCTTTTGTGGGCCTAGCCCAAGACCCGCCTCTCTCTGGAAGTTAGAGGACAATGCGGTTAAAGTCAATACGCAGCTGTAAGCCGCCCGCCTACAGCACCAATGCACAGCATCCCAGCACCCAGAGCTGGAAGGGGCTCAGAACACAGGCATCCGAATCCCAGTCTGTCTACCTGCCCCACAGCCCCCGTGTCCCAGCGGAGATGAAGGAAGTAGTGCGGAGCGCCCAGGCCATGGCTGACGGCTCCCAGCCCAGCTCGGCACCAAGCTCCTGTACACCGACTCTGCATCCAACCTAGGCCTGTAGCCAGTGCCCTGCGAACACCACACACACCCACTGCCTGGGAACAGGAGTCAGCCTGGCGGTGTGCAGACCACGAGCTTCAGAGCCAGACAGGCTGGAGTGTGATCCTGGCTCCGCCACCTACCTGCAGTGTGAGTGGACTAGTGAGGTCTCCCGCCCGAGACTCAGTCTGCTGATCTGGGAATTGGCAATGCTGATGCCCCCATAGAGTCGTTGTCAGAATTCAGTTGGGGTATGGAGGCCAAGTGGCTGGAATGAGGCAGGTGCTCAGTGACATGAGGTTCCTACCCCTGCTGTCTGGCTTCCCGGGCTCCGGCTCCTGGCAGGCCGCCACCTGCCCTGGGATTTGAGGTCTCGCATCCCTGGGTGCTGCTCCCCTCTGCAGCAGACCCCTGCCTGGGACCCAGAGTCACTGACACACTCACAGCCTGAACAGGAAAGGCCAGCTGGACAGGACAGAGCCATCCGTGTGGCCGGTGTCTGCCCCTTGGGTGGAGGGCCAAGAAGGCCCGGCAGGTGGCACAAGCGTGCACACCTCAGCTTGCTTCCCAAACCTGCCCACTGGCTTCCCTCCAGTGCAATTCCAGGGGCACCTGCATTCCAACACCAGCGATGTGTTCTATTATCCTCAAGCTGGAGACAGACATGCATGCACCACAGCAGGGACCTGATCCCACCAATGTTCCCGCATGGCACGGGCCTTCAAAGGTACAACAAGTCTTGGAGTTTCCTCTCCATAGAGATGAACAACTCTAATCATCAGGATGGTAACAGGTTTCAAGCCAGAGGATCATTGCAATCCCAGAGCCTGTGCATGACTCTCTGTACCACATGCCATGAGTAGAATTTGGAGGAAAAATAAAATTGATCAGGTCCGCAGAGGCTCCACAAATGCAGGGATATAAGAATACAGGCTGTGGCTGGGCGCAGTGGCTCACGCATGTAATCCCAGCACTTTGGGAGGTCGAGGCAGGGAAATCACCTGAGGTCAGGAGTTTAAGACCATCCTGGCCAATATGGTGAAACTCCGCCTCTACTAAAAATACAAAAATTAGCCGGGCATGGTAGCATGTGCCTATAATCCCAGCTACTTGGGAGGCTGAGGCAGGAAAATCGCTTGAACCCAGGAGGTGGAGGTTGCAGTGAGCCAAGATTGCACCACTGCACTCCAGCCTGGGCGACAGAGAGAGACTCCATCTCCAAAAAAAAAAAAAAAAAAAAATACGAGCTGTGAACAGGGAGTTTGGGTGAGGAAAAAGCTTGGTTCAGTGATTGCCAAAAATGTAAATGTGATCTGAGGCCACATAAATAAAAGTATTACGTTTAGAATCAGGGAGGTGGAAGATCCTGTGTACCTGGCACCTCAATTTTATCTGAAACAGAAGAAATTTTGACAAATGGAGCTGTTTAGGGACCAAAGGGCCCCAAGTGGGGAGGAGCCTGGAAACTGTAGTGTGGCAGGGCAGGTCTGGGGCCGCTGACTCCGGAGAAGAGAGGAGAGGCCATGGGGGCTCTGAAGAACTGGTGAGCAGAAGACGAAGTGGCCTCACTCGTGTGGCCCCCCAAGAAAGGATGACCCCAGGCAGCCCGGCTTCAGGCCCTCATGAAGCACTTCCTGTCAGTCAGAGCTGTCTGAGGCTGGCTTCCCTCAGGTTTTGGGAGGTGGTGAGTTCCCCACGCTGGAGGCACGCAAGCAAGGAGACCTGGCTGTCTATTACTGATGCTGCAGGGGGCAGGAGCTGCAGCAAGTGAACTCTGAGCCAGCACCCAGGTTCCCTGCTGCAGCCCCCCTGGGCCAACGTGGCCCCGACCTACCTTCTCTCGGCTGCTGTGGGCCGTCAGGGAGCGGTGGGCCGCCCCGCGCAGGGCTGTCCTGTAGTTGCAGAAATTCCCCGTTGGGTCCATCTGGTGCTGGAAGGAGACAGGGAGGCATGTGGGCAGTTCTGTCCAGGGGATGGCCGGAGGCACCCGGCAGCCCAGCAGCCTCATTTACCTCGAGGATGAAAAACTTGGCCGTCCTCACTTTGGCCCAGGTCTTCTTCAGCCTGGAGACAGGGCTCATGTTCATGCCGGCTGGAAGAGGGAGGAGGGTTGGAGAGGGCTGCTCCTGGGACAGGGGGGCCTCTGCGTAGCTGCACCCCCTTGGACTGCACCCTGACCAGGGCTGAGGTCTGCAGGGCTCAGCCTGTCACATGGTGGGTGGGTGAGGGGGTGCTGGTGGACATCATGGTCAGGTAGGCCTGCTGCCACCATGCTGGTCCCATTCTGTACCAAGCACCTGCACTGGGCCCTCGTTCTCTCTGGGTCTGGGGACATACCACCAAGCCCTCACCAAACATCCCGAGGGGGCTGGGCTTGCCTCAAAAGGGGTGGCTCCCCAGGACCTCTGAGGTGGGGACATGGGGCTGCCCAGGCCTTCAGAGAGCCCGGCCCACGCCCTCCCGCTGCTCAGAGGAGAGCCCTGGCTTGCACTCTGCCTGCCTGGCTGCACCCACTCCGGCCTCTCGGGGGACCCGTGCACTGGGGGCCACAGGCCAGGCCGGCCCACTCACAGATGATGGCCATGAGGGAGTTGAAGTTGCCGATGTTGAAGCACTCGCGGGCCACGTCGATGAAGAACTCAATCACCTGGGCCCTCTGCTTCTTCTTGGCTGGCTGGGGACAGGGCAGCAGAGCCTCAGTGGTGACACGCCTCCACCCTGCCCTGATCAGGCCCGCTCCCCTCACCTGGCCCGCTTCACCTTCTCTAAACCCATTGCACAGCTGAGGCACTTGAGGCTCAGGGTAAACAGGGTCTCAGAGTGCTTCATGGGCTGAGCCAGCAGAGCCCAATGCCATAGAGGGCTAGGTGGGCCCGGTGGGGGCACGGGTACCCCCTGTAGCCCTGGAGCTGCTGAGAGGCACCTTCAGGAGAGGCTCCATGGCTCCCCTCCAGCGCCCTCCTCCCTCTGGGCCCAGCTCCCACCCCACTCTTCCCCTGAATTAGAGAGCCCCAACTACTTGCCCCCAGCCCTGGGCTTTCTCCTCTCACTGGGGTACAAGTTGGCCCTGAGGCCTGTCCCTCGAGCAGCCCCTCCGCTCTCTCCATCTGACAACTGCGTGACTGGTAAACCCTTGTCTGTGGCCAGGCGCTCGGGACTTCAGACCCCTGTGATGCGCAGAACCACACCATGTCCTTCCCCAGCCATCCTGGGCTGCAGCTGGCTCCCTGGGGGGCTCAGGCCAGGCTTCGCCCAGGCTCGGCCCTCTCGCCTGCAGCCAGCGGCGTGAGGGTAGGAAGTGGGCTGGGCCGGTGGGGCCCGCGTTGCATTCTTTCCACACAGGTCGGTGTTGCTTGCCTACCAAAGATGCACCAAGGGGTCTTTACTGTCACCAAGAAGTGGGGTGTTGTGCTCTGAGATGTGTCACCAAACCCCCTTCCAGGGGCTGTCTTGGCCACAGAGAGCTGCGCACCCAAGGCTGGCCCTGTCCTTTGAAGGGCAGTCCGCCCTGTGATGGGGGCTGAGCCAGGTGGGGGACAGAGGCCAACTCCTGTGTCCATCGCCACGTCGCATGGGGCCGCCTCCTCTCTACTCTTCTCCGCAGGTGTGGACCCCTCATGAACATGTGCCCCATACTCAGTCTCAGCACCTGCTGCGGAGAGCCCAGCCTGGCCCAGCGCTGCCTCCAGCCTGGCCCTGAGATGAGCAGCCCCCTGGGCTTCAGCTCAAGGTGAGAGAGTGGGTTCAGAGGAGGGTCCCTCTGCTGCAAGGAGGAGGACGGGTGGGTGTGGCCAGGCGGGACCGCGACTCAGGGACAAGCACGTCTGGCTCCAGGCTGCTGAGTGTTGGTGCTTTCCAGGAGCAGCTAGAACCACGGGCTTTTACGTGCATCTCCCAGTGCTCAAAGGTCGGCTCTCGTCCTCCTCTAGGTCCCGAGCCAGCCAAACGAGGCCCGTTGCAGGCCAGGCTGCCCAAGGCAGGCCGGCACAGATGGAGAGAGCAGAGCCACTGGGGCTGGGAGTGACGGCCTCTCACTCCTTCAGCAAACCCTCTCCAGCACCCTCTGTGCCTGGCCGGTGGATCTGGCCTGGGTTCTACTTGGAGGGAAATGTCACTGTAGGAAAGCTGGTGTCACCTGGAGTCCTGGAGGGGTGCCCAGCCTGGCCTTGGACTTAGAAATGAATAAGACTCAAGGTGTCCTTCCGGTTCCTTCCCCCGTGGGCTCCTCCCAACTCCGGCCGCCTGGGGCTATGCCAGGTGGTGCCCACCCTGGCTGTCTACTCACCATGCAGATCTCAGTTGCCACCAGGTAGCACAGCCTGTTGAACCATTTCACATAAGCCTCCAGGTTGCTGGTCTTGTCACTGAAGCAGGGCTAGAACAAACACAGCACACGGGACCACGTTCTGAGCCTTTTTGTCTATCATCTTTTAGAGCATGAAGTCAGTTCATGATCCTTACGATCTGGGAAATGTTAAAACCCCCAAACCATCCAGAAATACCAAAGATTTGGTATGTACGCTTTCAGTCCTCTTAAAAGTACATTTTTTTTTTTTTGAGACGGAGTCCCGCTCTGTCGCCCAGGCTGGAGTGCGGTGGCGCGATCTCGGCTCACTGCAAGCTCCGCCTCCCGGGTTCACGCCACTCTCCTGCCTCAGCCTCCCGAGTAGGTGGGACTACAGGCGCCCGCCACCACGCCCAGAGAATTTTTTGTATTTTTAGTGGAGACGGGGTTTCACTGTGTTAGCCAGGATGGTCTCCATCTCCTGACCTCGTGATCCGCCCACCTCGGCCTCCAAAAGTGCTGGGATTACAGGCGTGAGCCACTGCGCCCGGCTAAAAATACATTTTAAAATGTAACTTCACACACACACACACACACACACACACACACACACACACACACACCCTCATTATTCCTGGATCCTGTATTTGCAAATTTGCCTGCTCTCTAAAATGTATTCGTAACCCCAAAAACTTGTGTCACTTTCGTGGTCGTCTGTACACACGTGTGCGGTGGCAAAAATATCGAAGTCATGAGCGTCCGCAAGCATCTCCAGAGGAGGCTAAGCAATGCTTTGTCCCGCATCACACGCTCAGACTTGGCCTACTGAGTATCATGTCCTTTGCATTTTCATGCTTTTTGCTGATAATTTCATTGCTGAGAAAGGCCCCCAAGCATGGTGCTGAAGTGCCGTCTAGTATTCCCATGCGCACAAAGGCTGCTCTGTGCCTCACAGAGAAAATGTGTGTGACATCAGCATTCAGCTGTGAGTAACAGCACTGTTAGCCATGAGATCAATAGTAATCAATAATTTATATTAAATAATGTCTTTAAACATAAGCACACATAAAACAAGGTGATATATTGATCCGCTGGCAAAAGCCTTGTGATGAGAGTCTCACAGGAGCCTAACCTTGCATTTCCCCCCGGGAGCGATGGTTCTGTGCTCCCTCACTCGGTGCTGCAGCTGCTGGGAGTAATGGGCACCAGCTGTGTGTATGCATGCATCTATCATAACCATATATATTCCCATGCCTTGCTATGCGAACCTTTCCCTGTGCCATAACATATCCTTTGGAAAAAAAATTTTTAAATGGATTTAGAACTTTCCACTGTATAATATACCACCATTTAAAAGATGAAACTTAACCTAAATGTGTTTGTTAAAACTGCCAGGGTAGGCCAAGCGCAGTGGCTCACGCCTGTAATCGCAACACTTTGGGAGGCCAAGGTGGGTGGATCACCTGAGGTCAGGAGTTCAGGAACAGCCTGGTCAACATGATGAAACTCTGTCTCTACTAAATATACAAAAATTAGCTGGATGTGGTGGTGGGTGCCTGTAATCCCAGCTACTCAGGAGGCTGAGGCAGGAGAATCGCTTGAACCCGGGAGGCAGAGGTTGCAGTGAGCCGAGATTGTGCCACCGCACTCCAGCCTGGGAAACAAGAGCGAAACTTCATCTAAAAAAAAAAAAAAAAACTAAAACAAAAACAAAAAACAAAAAAAAATCCCCAAAAAACTGCCAGGGTAACTTTCAATAAATAGAGGGGAAGATGGAATGGGGGACCTATTCATCCAAAGGAAGCAAAGGAAGGAGGAAAAAGAAACAGATAAGGAAGATAACTATGTGGTACAACAGAAGATAGCAAGAACAAATTCTTATGGACTAGTGATTACAACACTGTAATTAACAAATGCAGCTGCTTGCCACTTTCAAGAGATACACTCCAAACACAAGGATATAAGTAAAAAAAAGAGAAAAATATATCTGATAAATATTACGTAACTATATTAACATTGAACAAAATAGACTTTAAGGCAACAAAAAAGACCCTGAGGCAAAAAGCTGTAGGAGAAATTGCATAATGATAAAAGGGTCAGCTCATCAGGGATATGTCACAAGTCTTAACTTGATTGCAGCTAGTAACATAGGTTCAATATATGGAGGCAAAAACAATCAGAAAGCTGAAGTTCTTTATCAGGAGAAGTTGAGTCCTACAGTCACATGGAAGATTTTAACACACATGACGGTAACTAGTAGCTTAGGGAGATTGAAAAAGAAAAACAAAACGCAACCCAGGATGAATATGAATCTCAGCAACACAATTTGAAGCAATAAACAAACACGGAAACTTGAACTTAACTACTTGAGAATACGCATTCTTTTCAAATGTTCAGAAACTTAAAAAATTTTTTGAAATAATCTATGTTTCAAAGATGAAATCATAATGGAATTAGAATGATAATGAAAATGTTAAAAAATAAAACTTGGAGGCTGTAAATAAAAATTTATGTAAAAAGAAATCAACCATCTTTCATGCTTTTATTAGAAAAGAAGGATAAAAACAAGCTGAACATCCAACATAAGAAACTAGAAAAAGAATAACAGTATAAATCCAAAGAAAGTAGATGGAAGGAAATAATAAAGAGTAGAGAAGAAAGAAATGAAATAGTAAAAAAAACTGCAATCTACAGAATCAACAAAGTCAAAAGATCTTTATTTGAAAACATTAATAAAATTGATGAACCTCGGATAAGATTGATAAAGAAACAAAGAGAGGTGTAAATAATCAAAATACTAGAGATGGATCAATGTAGATGTGAAGAAATTAAAAAGATACCTAGAGAATATTACAAATAATTGTATGTCTATAAATTTGGAAACTTAGGGGAAATGGCCAAATTCCTAGGAAAATATAAATTACAAAACAGACTAAAGAAGAAACATAAAACCTAAATAGTCCTAAAACCATTAAATTAATAACAAGAATAAACAACGAAACAAACAAACAAACAAGAATAACCTTGAATCAGTACACGAAAGTCATCCCTCAAAGAAAATACTCGGGAGGCTGAGGCAGGAGAATGGCATGAACCCAGGAGGCAGAGCTCGCAGTGAGCCGAGATAGCGCCACTGCACTCCAGCCTGGGCGACAGAGCGAGACTCTGTCTCAAAAAAAAAAAAAAGAA